>NT_187550.1:0-126136 GCF_000001405.40 Homo sapiens
GAATTCCATACCACAATCAGGCAGGATTTATTCTAGGTATGCACGGCTGGCTCAATACTTACTTCTATTTCTCTTACAGACAGGGTCTCACTCTGTCACCCAGGTTAGAGTGCAGTGGTGCGATCATAGCTCACTGCAGCCTCCAACTCCCAGGCTCAGGGGGTCTTCCTGCCTCCCGAGTAGCTGGGACTACAGGCACGCACCACCATACCCAGTTAATTAAGAAAAAAAAAAGTTTTCTTACAGACAGAGTCTCACTATGTTGTCCAGGCTGGTCTCAAACTCTTGGCCTCAAGCAATCCTCCCACCTTGGCCTCCCAAAGCACTGAGATTACAGGTGTTAGCCACTGTGGCTGGCCCAGTTCAATGTTTGAAAATCCTTCACAGCAACAGGCTGAAGGAGAAAATCACAAGATCACATCATAGATGCAGAAAAAGCATTTGACAAAATCTAACACTCCTTCATGATGATTCCTTTCAGCAAACTGAGAGTGGAAGAGAGCCTTCTCCGCATGAAGACAACACCTATCATCCATGGCCAGCAGGCGCAAGGCTGCGCTGGAAACCAGATGCTCTCCCACCAAGACAGGAGGTGAGGCTAGGATGCTCCCTCTCACCAGACTTCCCAACATCATGCTGGAAGCCCCAGATAAGGCAGTAAGGTAAGAAAAGGAAATAAAAGGTATACCGATCTGGAAGGAAGGAATAAAACTGTTCACAGATGACATGATTTTCTATGTAAAAAATGACAAAGAATCCAAAAGAAAACCCCATGAAACTAACAAGTGATGACAGCCAGGGTGCAGGATTCCAGGTGTCAGGAGTGGCGCACTGTGCCGCCCCCCCCTGCCCCCCACCCAAAAGACATGTTGAAGTCCTTAACCCAGTGCCTCGGAATGCAACCTTTCTTGGAAACAGCGACTTACAGAGGCAATCAAATTACCATGAGGCCATTAAGGTGGGCCCTGATCCACGATCACTGGTGTCCTTCTAAGAAGGGGAAACCTGGCCCCGTAGAGAGACAGGCACGGAGGAGAGATTCTGTGAAGAGACACAGGGGAAGACGGCCTGTGAGAGCAGGGCTGGAGGGAGGCCCTCCGAGACAAACAACGCCAGCGGCTGCGTAGATCACCAGCAGCCAGGAGGGGCATGGAACAGCTTCTCCCGCACGGCTCACATGAGCAGAAGGTGCAGGTACCAGAGTGCTGCTGTCCACGCAGCAAGTAGTCTGGTTTGAAATGGGGTGATGGGGGCTGCAGGACAGGTATCTGAGGGAAGAGGCGATCCCAGGGATGCAGAGCCATTTCGGAGACACTGGAAGAGAAGTCAGCAAAAAACGGCTCAAATCGGGCCCCTGCCTGCGCTGTGCGTGGGCATCTTACGGGCACACCATCCTGGCTTCCGTGCTGCCAATGGCTGCCTCCGCCCTGCAAAGGCAGAGCTAAGAAGATGGGACAGAGGTCACGCAGCCTCCAGGGCCCAAAACATTCACACAAAAAAGCTGACTGATCCCTGCACTAGGAGTTTAAAATGAGTGGAGGCATCTCACACAAGAAAAAAAATGATTTGATTAAAAGCCTCAGACAAGACAAATGGTACTCAAGAAAGTGTACAATCCGACCACTTTCCACGGCTATGCAGACAGAGTCCACTGATTTCTGCCCCTTGAATCAACCCATAAACAAAGCACGAAGTCTCTCTAGGGTTTTGGGATACACGCAGATACTATCAACCGAACATAGACATGCAGGCAGCAGGGCTGGGGCTGCAAGGGGAAGCAGGCCCGGCTCACACACACGCCCACGGTCTCCGAAGGTGGCCTCACCAGCACCAGCCATGGGGAGGGAGACAGGAAGGCGCATCCCGGCACCGTCACAGAAAGGGTGGGGGAGGAAGAAGTCCTCCTCGATCCAGGAAGACGGGTCCTGCTGAATGTGCTCACGGCCAGAAGTGGGATTTGGCTGGATGGGCAGCTAAGAAAGTAGCTGAAGCGAGAGCTGGAAGCAGAGGCAGCCACAGACGTGAGAGCTGCCAGCCCCGGGAAAGGGACAGGACAAGCCCTTTGCTGAGTTGATTTTACACATATTACCTTAATCAACAGTTTCGATATTAAAAATAACTCCTAGGAATGTGGAGAACAGGAGAGAGGCCCCGTCCCACTGTCCACGGAGTCCCCGCCAGGCAGGCTCTGCCCTTCCTCCCTCCTGGTGTCCGCCCCTGGAGAGTGACCGGCACACAGTGAATGACGTTCGGTTAATCCTCCTGACAGCAGGCCAGTCAGAAACACTCTGGGTGTCCGTAGCACTTCCGTTCATACCTGCCCTCTTTCAAAGAAGCTGGGACGCTCTCTTTGGAGTCGAGTGAGTCCTCTGATGCAAAATGCAGTCGGGAAGCCTTCCGCTCGCTTGCTCTCACGGGGCGATCGTCTAGAAGAAAAGGCCACACAAGACTGTGCAGGTGGCAAGCGGCGGGCGGCTGCATCCACCCTGGGGCATCTACACGGGGCAGGGTGTCCATCCCCTCGGGGCCAGCCCTGCTCCCACTAACCTAGCACCGGAATGCTGGGCTCTGGTGGTCCCACAGCTTCCCGGCGATGCCCAGCGTGGTGCTGAGGCCGCCTGTCCCTCAGAGCTCACTGCTGCGCACGGGAGCAGCCGCACACAGATGAGGCTCACACACACACACGCACACCCTTTCTCTAAAGTGCACACCGGGTGCGGGGTGGGATTCTCAAGTCACACTCAGGTAACCCAGAGAAGCCTCCACGGAGGGAGCCTGCCCGGCCCGAGAGGCTGCAACTTCCAGGAGGCCTTTTGGGTCTGTGCTTAGGGCTGGGCCTCAGGGACGTGCGTACCTGGGGCCACCAGGCTCCCACCCAAGAACTCCTGGAGCTTCCTCATGTAAATCCCTGAAGATAAGAAGGTCCCCAGGCCTTCAACCTTGGCGCTTTGGAACTTACAACACATCTTAACCCCCATTTGTAATGTGAATTCTGTGACAAGTTCCCACGCTGCCTCCATTTAGCCTACAGCACGCCCCAAAAACTACAGAATCACTGTAAGAAATGAGTGAGTAATAGCATAATATAATGTTCAAAGCAGAAAAACGGAGGAGTTCTGATAATCACACAAAGATGCCGAGTCAGAGGCCTCTGCAACCTGGGGCACTCTCCACCCAGCACACAGGGCACCCTCAGGAGACACGTGCGCCAGGAGACCTGCACCCAATCCCACCCTCCCGCAACCTTTCCACCCCGGCCTTCACCAGCCCCGCACTAACGACGCATAGCTCTCTGCCCACCAAGACTCGCTTCCCTTCTGAGTCAGTTCCAAATCCCGTACTCCAAGAACATTTCTCTGGACTGTTGTGTAAATTCTAATGCAGCATGTCCGAAGCCAACTGCAAACTCACCTTCACCCCAAGCCCACCCTCTCCTGCTGGCAAGGTCTCTCCAGACGCCGCCTCCATCCCACACGCAGGCCCTTGCTATCTGCCTCCTCCACCACCGGGGCCTTTCCATGACCCACGCGGAGCCAAGGACCGAGCCCACTCCAGGAGGCACCACGCAGGGCAGCAGGCCGTCCCGGGGCCCCGCACCTCCGTGGTTCCCGCAGCGCCTCTGACTGCCAGCGCCACTGCAGGAAGCATCTCTCACATGCGGGGAGACGGTTGTGCTCCTTCTCTGTAGAAACACTAAGAGGGGAGACGGTCGCGCTCCTTCTCTGCAGAAACACTAAGAGGGAGACGGCTGCGCTCCTTCTCTGCAGAAACTCTCTGCAGAAACACTAAGAGGGAGACGGTCGCGCTCCTTCTCTGCAGAAACACTAAGAGGGAGACGGCCGCGCTCCTTCTCTACAGAAACACTAAGAGGGGAGACGGCTGCGCTCCTTCTCTGCAGAAACACTAAGATTCTGAATCTAAAACTTGGATTACAGAGGCAATGATTTAGAACTGAAGACTCCAAAAATTACCTAGAATAAGGACTGTAGCTCCTGAAACAGCCAAACTCAACTGTTTATGAGTTACTTGGTTAATTGGCCAAATAAACACTATAAAACAGGCGCCTATTCCTCCCAAACCTCTTATAATTAAACAGCGAAATCCTAATTGGGTTTGGAAACAGACACTGTGTCTTGGGGGGGTCCATTGTTAATGTCCACGGCCCCATCCCAGGGGGAAGAGTGTCAGGCACAGCAGCCAGGCTCTCAGGTGGCCAGCACCACGCATGCACGCCGCATGCTCCCAAGGAGGCGCTCCTCGCTGCCAAGAGCTGCAGCACAGAGCTCTATCCACACTGCTCAGGCTCTGGAAGCCCAGCCGCAGGGCCTGTCCAGGGCCCAGCACTTGCCACATGAGTGGGTGAGCCAGGGTCTTCCCTGTCAGTGATGCTGGGAGCTAGGTCTCACTTTGGCCACACAGACGCCCTGAGTGCCTCCCAGCCCTTGCAGAGCAGCAAATGCCACCCCAGTTGCTGCCCTCCCATCCGATGCTGCCACTGCCAACTGCCAGCCCCCAGTGCCCAGGGGAGCTGAGCTCCTGCAAGAGCAAAGTCCACCAGGACCCAGGGATACTGTCAGCTCCTCAAGTCACTTTTAGAAGGTCAGAGAAAAATTGTTTTGATCGTTAGTTACTGAAAAATGGTCAAACTGTGGCAGACTGGGGCATTCTTCCAAGAGGACTCCTTTAAACAGATTTCAATCCATACCACTAACCTACACTGTCACCAAACAGAGGGTGTGTGTGCTGCATGCTGACAGCTCTTTCCAGCATCTCCAGAAACTTCTCCAAGTAGCAAAGCAGTGCAGTTTAAAATGTTAGAATTTGGCCAGGCTCAGTGGCCCACGCCTGTATTCCCAGCACTTTGGGAGGCCAGAGTGGGCAGATGACTTGAGGCCAGGAGTTCGAAACCAGCCTGGCCAACATGGCAAAACCCTATCTCTACTAAAAAGACACAAATTAGCAGGGCACAGTGGCACGCACCTGTAATCTCAGCTACTTGGGAGGCTGCGGCAGGAGTATTGCTTGAACCCGGGAGGCGGAGGTTGCAGTGAGCTAAGATCACGCCACTGCACTCCAGCCTGGGCGATGAAGCGAGACTATGTCTCAAAAATAAAATAAAATGTGAGAATTCCATATACAAACACATGTGTGATCACATCACCATCAAGATACCGCAGGCCAGTCCTCCCTGTGATGAGGTGACACGGCCCCGCATGGCTCCACGATGGCCCCAGACAGCCTTCCCGGTCTACTCGCTGAGGCGCTTAGGTGCTCCTCCACCTGTTTTCCCACCTCTGGTGTGCAGCTTTGCTGACGTCACACGAACTTCATGGGGCTGACAGGGTGAGGGCTGCCGGGTGTTCATCTGGTGGGTGGCAAAACCCCAGCTGGCCCTCAGTCCCGACGCCCACAACGGGCAGTACCCAGGGGCCAGGCACATCACCCACCAACGTGCTTTAGCTGCTGTTTACTTGAAATTGACATACAAATCTCAGTTCTCTAAGAGAACCTGAATGCTCCCCACAGCCGTGGAAAACAGCCTGTTCAGGGCACTCGCAGTGGGGGAAAGTGCTCTGTCCTCTGTGATTCTGTTGGTCTTTTGTTCTAACAAGATAGTTGGGATTCTGTGATTCTTTTGTTTTTGATAAGGTCCTAGGTTCAGAAGGAGGGGCAGCTTTCGAACAGCGGTGCATGGTAGGTCTGACCCTAACAACAGAAGCAACCAGGGAACGTTTATAGGCCCCTGGCCATGCCGGGCAGTCTGGGAGCTTACAGATATTAACTCAGGTCTCCCCACCACGACATGTCAACACAGCATTCTTATCCCCCCACTTCACACAGGAGGACTGAGGTAAGAGACCCTGCACCCTCTTCTTCCCCATGGACTCTGGTCAGTGTGCCCCTGGGCTGAGGCCCCAGCTTTCTCTCCTGGATCTGTGACTCGGGGTAGGGTCAGCAGAGACACCACCAGGTGCTCACAGCAACAGCAACAGCAACAATGCCTCCGGGGAGGCAGGAGGCAGATGGGAAGGTGACCTGCGGCTGCCCCAACCCAGGGACCCTCCCTACTGGGCATCGCTGTGGGGGCCCTGGAAGTTCTGCCTACAAGACTGTCATGGAAAGCCTTTTCTTTCAGGAGCATGATCCAAAGGTCACTGCACATCCCCTCCCAACCCTGTCCCAGTGGTGGGGTGTGGGGGACAATGAGCTGCTTGTCCTGTGTGCTTCCAAGTGGGGCAAAACCAGGCAGCATCCTGCTGTTTAGCTGCACCTGAGATGATACCTGGGGGCTATGCGAGGAAACAGGACAGGAGATGTTCAGGAACGTGCCCAAGTCCAACAGCCATGACGCGGAGAGCCAGAACAGGACGTAGCAGCCTGGTCCGGGGCTGTGCTCCCACGGCCCCAGCCCTGCGCCCTCCCAGGGTGCTCAACTTCCAGCCCTGTCCTGTGCAGACACAGGGCCTCTCGAGCTGTGTGTCTGCAGGAACTCAAGCCACCAGCGTAGAAAACCAACTCCCCGTTCCAGAAGGAATCAAGCATGTGACGTTGAGCACACAGACACCCACTACGACTCCCCGACTCCCATACCCCACGGGGACAAAAGCATGAGCGTGGCCCTGCCTGATGCCTACCCAGCTGCTGGAGCTTGGGGAGCAGGTGCACAACAAAAAGGCGGTAGTCAGGCTCAACCTTCACCACGGGGTTCAGCCGGAAGTCCACATCCACGAGCTCGGTTAAGGCGTGGAGCCGAAACACTTCTGCCAACGAGGAGATGCAGTTGTAGTAGAGATTGAGACTCTCCAATGCAGTCAGGTACTGAATGCCCTGTCAACAGAAAACACAGTGAATTCATTCACACTTTAAACAAGAAATACACAGTGAAATAAGCCAGCAACACACACTGACCAACCAACTGTATAAACTTATTTGCAATAACTCCATGTCATTACCAGGAAAAGTAGAAAAATGAAACGTTCTCATCTGTGAAGTTCTCTGGGCCCCACGCGGTGAGACGGTCGTTTATGGAACCCACATGTGACGCAACTAAGCACAGCTAATATCTACCGAGGCCTCAGCGTGCAGCAAGCTGAGTGATGTGCACGCACAATTTCATTTAATCCACACGCCGCCCTACAGGGTGAGAACCATCAGCCCCCCCTTCACAGATGAGAAAGCTGAGGCCTGGGAACGGGGAAAGATGAGGCAGCACTGGGTGTAGCCTGGGCTAGGTCCGCATCTGACTTGGAGCAGACTCCCGAGCTGGTGTCAGACGTGGCCTCCATAATGCTCAGGCACCAGGCTCAGGGCAGGCGCATCCCACGGTTCTGTCCGGGCCAATCAGGCCATGCAGACGCAGCCTCCATAATGCTCAGGCATCGGGCTCAGGGCAGGCGCATCCCACGGTTCTGTCAGGGCCAATCAGGCCATGGTAGTTGTGCACAGCTCCCCTCACCACCACCTAGGCATCTCTCTCCAGGGTGACCCTGCCAGGAGCCCAGGAGGCAGCCCCAGGCCCACTGCACTGCCACTCAGTAAGTCTCTGGGGTCTCATTTCATTTCCTTTAAAGATATAATCATCGTCATCAGAGGGCGACAACACAACGTAACGTGATGTGTATGAAATGTAGCCCACGGTAAACACAAAAATACGCAACACAAAGTGTACCGTATACAGATGTAAGCAGAGGGTTACAAAACAGACTCCGTTTCTGCTGTGAATGGACTTTCCACTGATGTTGATAGCAATAAATTTTAAGAAAGAGACCTAAAACTTACCTCCAGACTAACCAAGGAGTTGCGCGAGAGATCCAAAGATTTCAGACCTGTTAAACTCATCAGAGAATGTCCCAGGTGGGTGATCTTCTCTTGGTAAGTTCCAGGAATAGACAATGACTGAAGCTCAGCTAAGAATAGAAAAATTGTAAGATTTTAATCTTTTATTTTGAAAACAATTATAATAACGGTCAAGTTCTTGGTGTTGGATATGGAGTAGAAACTGACACAGATTCTTGGTTTAATTCAACTTTACTCAGGCTCCTGAATCTTCTCCTCGGCCATCTGTGCCCTTCCTTGTAAAGTCCAGTTTAGTGCGGCCAAAACCCCCACCCTCAGTATCTGCTCAGGTTCCTCATCCCCAGATCCCATAGGTGGTGTCTGCTCACCCTGGCCTCTCTTTCGCAATAATCCTGTTCAGTTGGTTTAGCCCAAATCCCCTTACTCCTCATGTGTCCTCTCAGTCATTTTCCATCCACTGCCCCCACCCTGACCCTAGGCTATAAACTCCCCCCGGCCCCTGCTGTACTTGGAGTTGAGCTCCATCTCTCTCCCCCACTGCAAAATCCCAGCGCAGTGGCCCCAGGCCCACCTCAATGGTTCTGAATAAAGCCTTCCTCACTGTGCCTGACAAGGGTCATTCAAAACATTTCTTCCTCTAACAGTATATGTAAAAAGATTGAAAGACAAACTTTAACACATGTGTCCTATTGTGGAATAAATCCCTTTATTTTCCCTCTTACACATTTCTGTATTTTCAGCTTTTCTCAGAGAGATATGTATCCTCGTAATCTGAAAGAGGCACCTAGAACTCAGTGCAACTCCTTTGGAGTTGGAATATCAGCACTGACGAGCAAGGAACGTACCTGAAGTTTCGGCTTATGTTTATCTCTACAATACCTCCAAGCCCACACGCTTCTTCCCACCTTTACTGCCTCTCCCTCCAAAACCGTCTCTCCCCAGGAACACCCCTCTACTTCATCTCCCGCCTCCACTTCTGGCTGCTCAATTCTGTCACCCCTTGCAGCCATCACCATCTGAAACCCACTCGTCGGGTAACCTGTCTGCTGTCCTCCTGTTACAACTGTGGTCGGGCTGTGCAAGCTCCACGCACCCCATAAGCAGTCACTACATCAACATTAATTACAAGATGAAAGTTTCCGTAATCAAAAAGGCAGTTTAGATCCGAATACATCAATACTTTCCTGGGAACATTTATGTTTTAGAATATGTTTTGGTTTTTTTGTTTTTGTTTTCAGATGGAGTCTTACTCTGTTGCCCATGCTGGAGTACCGTGGTGCGATCTCGGCTCACTGCAACCTCCACCTCCTAGGTTCAAGTGATTCTCCCGCCTCAGTCTCCTGAGTAGCTGGGATTACAGGGACACGCCACCACATCCGGCTAAAACCCCACGTTTCCCTGTTTCCTCAGGTAGCCCTCAGGCATCGTCTCAGGTGCAGCTAAACAGCAGGATGCTGCCTGGTTTTGCCCCACTTGGAGGCACACAGACAAGCAGTTCATTGTCCCCCACACCCTGCCACCGGGACAGGGTCAGGAGGGGACAAGGTGCAGTGACCTTTGGCTCATGTTACTGAAAGAAAAGGGTTTCCGTGACAGTCTTGTGGTTTCCTGACCATGTTGGCCAGGCTGGTCTCGAACTCCTGACCTCAGGTGATCCATCCACCTCGGCCTCCCAAGACTACAGGCATGAGCCACCACACCCAACCAGAATATGTTCTGATTAAGTTTAAAATTTGGTTTGAGCTCTTCCAGTTCCAGGCAACATGGAGAGGACACATTTCAACCTGCTCCTCCCGCATATTAGACCCACTGCCCTGGAGGAAAATATACGGAACAAGCATTGGGGGACTGAAAGGAACAGAAGCCAACCAGCCAGGGGCCTCGGCACTCGAGAGAGAACCCAGCGCTGAGTCCCTGGCTTGACTCTGGGGTTTTGTTTATGCTTATTTACTACACATCCCACTCTGGGTGCCACAGAAGTCGGCAGCCCAGAAACACAAAAAGACCAAAAACCGTAAGCCTGCTCTCGATGGCCAAAGGACCAGGAGGGGCCTGGCAGGACAGACTCTCTGTACATCATCAGCCCTCCTGCAACCACACACACTGTTCACATCATCAGCCCTCCTGCAAGCAAACCCCCACCCACACACACAACAACACATACACACACGCACACACCCCTCGTCCACTTGGCACCAGGAGGGGCCTTGCAGGACAGACTCTCTTCACATCATCAGCCCTCCTGCAAGCAAACCCCCACTCGCGCGCACACACACACACACATACACACACACACACACACACCCCTCGTCCACCTGGCCTTGCGCAGCAGCCAGCACCGGGGTGTGAGAATGGATCCTGACTGCTGTCCCGGCCTGGCTAGAACGAGGTGGTGCCCTTCACTCTCCCAGCCAGTAGGGTCTGCCAGAGGCCGTGGGTGAGGCAGGAGCTCCATGACTGTCCCGGCAACAAGGTGGCACCCAGCAGGCTCGAGTGAGGAGTCTTCTCAAGTAAGGGGATTTAAACAGGAAGCAGAGTCTCATGACATCATACCCAGCATGTCCACAATATGATAAAAAATGACCAAGAACCAGAAAAATGGCAATTTGAATGAGAAAACACAGTCAATCAACAGATACCACCAAGAGAGAACACAGAACTTAGGTCTAACAAGGATTTTAAAGTGACTGTCATAAAAAATACTTCAATGAGCAATTACAAACACCTGAGACAAAGGAAAAACTAGTCTTAGCAAAGAAACAGGAGATATAAAGAAGAAACAAATAGAAATTTCAAAGAAAAATACAATAACAAAAAATCACAAGAGCAGTTTAATAGCAAAATGGAGATGACAGATGAAAACTGTAAAACCGTAGAGAAAAACTAAGAGAATCTGTCACAAGCAGACCTGCCCTAAGACAACTGCTGAAAAAATTTTTTCAAATATAAAGGAAAAACGAAAGAAACCTAGAGCATCGTGGAATGAAGAAAAAATAACAGAACAGATAAACATGCAGATAAATATGTTTCCTCCTGAGTTACTGAAAAGGCTAGGTATTTAAAAAAAATCATAATATTAATACGGTTCTCAAGGTATGCAGAGGAAATACTTAAGACAACTAAATTGTAAAGGGGAGAGGATAGAGACCTAAATGGTGATAAAGTTTCTATATTTCACTTAGAAGTAGTAAAATACCTGTACAAGTAAACTGTGTTGAATTACATAAATACATTGTAATTTGTATAGCCACCACTATGAAAACCATACAAGGAGATATACACCAAAACATAACAGATAAATCAAAATGAGATACTAAAAATATTCGAGTAAGTCACAGCAGGCAGGAAAAGGGAAACAGAAGAAAAAACACAGGAAACAATCAAAAAACAATAAAATGGCACACTTAAGTTC
This sequence comes from Homo sapiens, assembly GCF_000001405.40. Classification (NCBI taxonomy): domain Eukaryota; kingdom Metazoa; phylum Chordata; class Mammalia; order Primates; family Hominidae; genus Homo; species Homo sapiens. Next base: position 11,210 of record NT_187550.1, read on the forward strand.
TAATATTTAACAATTAGATTAAATGTAAATGGCCTAAAACACTACTACAAGACAGAGATTAGCAGAGTGAATAAAAATAATGAACCAGGAAACTAATTTCAAATATAAAGATACAGGTAGGTTAAAAGTTCAAAGCAATGGATAGGAAAAGATACGCCATGCAAAAACCAATCAAAAGAAGCTACCGTAACAACAGTAATATCAAATAAGACAGATGTCTCAACAAAGAAAATTACCAGGAAAAAAGAGGAACAAGGCCCAGGCACCGTGGCTCACACTTGTAATCCCAGCACTTTGGGAGCCCAGCAGAGATCACCTGAGGTCAGGAGTTCGAGACTAGCCTGGCCAACATGGTGAAACCCCGTCTCTACTAAAAATACAAAAATTAGGCAGGCGTGATGGCAGGCGCCTGTAATCCCAGCTACTCGGGAAGCTGAAGCAGAGGAATCATGTGAACCCGGGAGGCAGAGGTTGCAGTGACCCAAGATCGTGCCACTGCACTCCAGCCTGGGGGACAAGAAGGAAACTCTGTCTCAAAAAAAAAAAAAAAAAAGAGGAAGACTACATATACTAAAAGGGTCAGTCCACTAAGAAGGTATAAAAATCCTAGCTATGTAATTCAACAAACAGAGCTTCAAAACATACAAAGTGAAAAAAAAAACAGACAAATCCACAATTACAGTTAAGGGTTCCAGACCCCTCTCTCAGTCATTAATAGAGTCACTAGACAGAAAATCAGCAAGGATACAGAAGAACTGAACAATATCACCAACCAACAGGATCTAATTGATATTTATGTATTTACATAACACTCCACTCAACAACAGAATACACACACACTCAAGTGCACCTGGAACATTCAACAACATAGACCAGATGCTGGATCATAAAACAAACCCTGACAAATTTAAAAGAATTAAAATCATACAGATTATGTTCTGGCCATAATGGAATCACACAGAAAAATAACAGGAAAATATCCACACATGGAACGTTAAAAACATACTCCTTAAAAATCCACAGGTCAGGCCGGGCGCGGTGGATCATGCCTGTAATCCCAGCACTTTGGGAGGCCGAGGTGGGCGGATCATGAGGTCAGGAGTTCCAGCTACTCGGGAGGCTGAGGCAGGAGAATGGCATGAACCCAGGAGGCAGAGCTTTCAATGAGCCAAGATTGCGTCACTGCACTCCAGCCTGGGTGACAGAGCGAGACTCCACCTCAAAAAAAAAAAAAAAAAAAAAATTCACAGGTCAAACAGGAAGTATCGAGGGAAATTCTTAAAATACGCTGAACTGGATGAAAATTAAAATACAACATAACAAAATTTGTGGATACAGCTAAAGCAGTGCTTACAGGGAAACTTGTGGCACTGTTTATAATAGAAAATAGGAAAGTCTCAAATCAATAATCTACAGTTTTGCCTCAAGGATTTAGAAAAGTATAAAATAAATGCAAAGCAAGCAGAAAGAAGGAAATAAAAAAAAGCAGAAATCAATGAAATTTGAAACTAGAAAAACACTGGAGAAAAATCAAACCCAAAGTCGGTTCTTTGAAACTATCAATAACATTCACAAGCCTCTAGCAAGACTAAAAAAGAAAGAATACACAGATTATCAACATCAGGAACAGAAAAGGGATATCCCTGTAAACCTTGTAGCACTAATCAGGGAAGAAGGGAGGACTCGGCATGTCCCGAGGTCAGCTGCCCTCTCACCTGCTTCCTCAGAGCCCTGTGGTGCCTACTGCCTCAGGATCACTTGGATTTTGTCACGAGGTTACAGTTCCCCTTAACCACTCTACAGATAATAACCTGGACATTATAAACCGTTAAGTTTTCCATTTGAGATATTCTTTCAGGACCTGGGGACTGATGCCAGCTGGTCTAAAGGGCCCCGCAAGCGGATTCACCAAAGAATGCAGTTTCCACACCCTGATAATTCCATGGCCCTTACCTCCACCAACTGACAACACCAATCTTCCAGCTCCTCACAGTCCTGTTCCTCTAAAACCCCCAGCTCAGGCTGGGTGTAGGTGGCTCATGCCTGTAATCCCAGCACTTTGGGAGGCCAAGGCAGGTGGATCACCTGAGATCAGGAGTTCAAGACCAGCCTGGCCAACATGGTGAAACCCCGTCTCTACTAAAAATATAAAAAATTAGCCGGGCATGGTGGCGCGTGCTTGTAATCCCAGCTACTCAGGAGGCTGAGTGAATCACTTGAACCTGGGAGGTGGAGGTTGCAGTGAGCTGAGATTGTGCCACTGCACTCCAACCTGGACGACAGAGTGAGACTCCGTCTAAAAAAAAAAAACCGCTCAGATCTCCTTGGGGAGATGGATTGAGGCCTCCTTCCACCTCCCTGCTGGGCCCCTGCCAGCCTTAAACTCTTTCTCTGCTGCAAACCCCACTGTCTCAGTGTATTGGCCTGTGGCCCCCACAGCACCTGACTGAACCTGTTGGTCCAGTAACACCTGCAGACCACACACAGACATTAACAGGCTAACAACAGAACACCAGAAACAACTCAACACACACACTCCACAAGTTAGCTCAAATAAGCCAATGCCACAAAACCCCACACAGCCAAGACTCGCGGTGAACTAATATGAACGGTTCTCTAACAACCAGAGATACAGAATTTGTCATTTAAAAGCTTCAAAAACAGAAATTGACATGTCCATATGGTTTCACTGGAAAATTCCAGGAAACATTCAAACAATGAGCACACACTCTACAGAACCTCTTCTAAATATAAGAGAAGGCAACACTTCTCAGCAGTTTATGAGCTCGGCTTCACCTTGACGCCAAAACCAGACAAAAATAAGCCAAAAAGAAGGAAACCGGCCACCAACATCCTCAAGAAGGCCGAGCGCAACAATCACCACAGAGTGGGCCCAGGAGAACCAGGGAGGTGATCCCCAGCGGGAGGGCGGGCTGCGCTCCTGGACAGCAAGGCCGGCTCCCTCTTCTCAGCGGATGTAACCCCCAGTCACGGAACCAGTGACCCGATAGACAGGCAGGGGCCGGGACGCCGGGACCCGAACGCGGGCAGGGGCCGCACCTGGGCACGGGGGGTGGGTCGCTCACCTGGACACGCGCGCCCCGCTCGCCCGCGACCGTTCCGGACGCCCGCGGCGCCTGCGTAGACGGGTCCCGCCTGCCCACGGTCCGCCGCCGCCCCGGGAAGCTCGGCACCCACCCCCCCGCCACCTCACGCTTGCACCCCCGCCCGCCCTCCGGCGCACCCAGGTCGCGGTGAGGCCCTAAGCCGCTCTTCGCCCGAACCGCCTCCTCGCTCAGCACCAGCCGAGGGCCAGCCCGCGCCATGTTTCAAACGGAGCCCTCGGACGGCGCCTGCGCGGCGGGCGGGGCGAGGCTACGAGAGGGGCGGGACCTGCGTCGGCAGAACCGAGAGCCTGGCGGGACGGGGCGGGGCCTGCGCGGCGGGGCGAGGGGCGTGGCTGGGGGAGGGGGCGGGACTGCGTGGGCGGAACCAAGAGCCTGGCGGGGGGTTCTCCTGAATGGCGGTTCTCCCAGGTACTGGCCACGCGACCCCAGCCCCCGCCCCAGATAGCTCCCTGTCAAGGCTTCCCTGGGCGCGGCCGCCTTCTAGGCCCCGGCCCTTGACACACGCGGTGTCCTCCCGGGGAAACCCCGAGTAGGCGCGGTGGAATCGCGGCTGGTGGTGGGCATGGGGACCCTGCCCCATCCACACTCCGCTCCCACCCTGAACCCAGCGCCCCCGGGGACCCCCGACTCACCTAGACTCCCCACCCAACCCGACCCCCCCGCGGGGACCCCTCCAGACACCCCAGCACCCGCCCGGAGCCTTGTCTGCTGCACCTCCCGTCCAGCCCCGGGCCTCCCAGAGGTGGGCGGGAGCTGAGCTTCTCCCCAGCCAGTCACTCCCCACGGCCGGTCCTTCTCCACCCCAGAACCTCCAGAGATGTCACAGGCCCAGCACTGTGGCTCGTGGCTGACCGCGCCCTGGAGGGTCTCGCTGTGTTTATCCTTGTGAGGTCCTTCTACAGAGCTTTCAAGGAAGACAGAGTTCAGCCTGTTTATTGGGAAGACTTTAATCCTGCTCAAGACATCTACTGTGTCACCGTACCACTGTGGCCCAGCGCCTGGTGGAGTGAATCCAGACCCCCAGGGGTGTCCCCTCCCCGCCTTTCTCCTGGTGTCTAGGGGCACCCAGAAACCCTCACCCCAGATTAGACCAGCTCGTTGGCAACATCCCTGGTATGTCACAGCCTGGGGGGTGATAGACAAGGCAGGGTAGTGGTGGGGGGTACGTATGGTGGTAGTAGACGAGGGTATACACAGACAGAGGGTGTACATGGGGAATGTGTGCAGGGGCTGTGTGCAGGGAGTGTGTGTGGATGGTGTAGGGGAGTGTGTAGGGGAGTGTGTAGGGGGTGTGTGCAGAGGTTGTACACGGGGTGTGCAGGAGGTGTACTCAGAATGTGTTCAGGGAGTGTGTGCAGAAGGTGTACATGGGGTGTATGCAGGAGGAGTGTGCAGAGGGTGTACATGTAGGGGGTGTGTGCAGACAGTATACAGAAGGGGTGTGTGCAGAGGATGCACACAGGGTCTCTGCAGGGAGTATGTGCAGTGCTGTACATAAGGAGTATGCAGGGGGTATATACAGGGTGTATGTGCAAGGGGTGTGTGCAACAGTGTGTGCAGGAGGTGTGTGCAGGGTCTATGTGTGGGGGTGTGTGCAACAGTGTGTGCAGGAGGTGTGTGCAGGAGGTGTGTGCAGGAGCTATGTGTGGGGGTGTGTGCAACAGTATGTGCAGAGGTGTGTGTAGGGGCTATGTGTGGGGGTGTGTGCAACAGTGTGTGCAGGAGGTGTGTGCAGGAGGTGTGTGCAACAGTGTGCAGGGGGTGTACACAAGGTGTGTGCAGGAGGTGTGTGTAGATGTGTGTGCAGGAGGTATACACAGGGTTTGTGCAGAGGATGTGTGTGGGAGGTGTGTGCAGGGGATCTGTGCAGGGAGTGTACACAGGCTGTGTGCAGAGGCTATGTGCAGGGGGTGTGTGCAACAGTGTGCAGGGAGTGTACACAAGGTGTGTGCAGGAGGTGTGTGCAGAGGTGTGTGCAGGAGGTATACATGGTGTGTGAAGGTATGTGTAGAGGTGTGTGCAGGGGGTATACACAGGGTTTGTGCAGAGGATGTGTGAGGGAGTTGTGTGCAGGGGATCTGTGCAGGGAGTGTACACAGGCTGTGTGCAGGGGGTATGTGCAACAGTGTGCAGGGGGGGTGTGTGCAGAGGTGTGTGCAGGGGGTGTACACAGAGGGTGGTGGCAGGCGGTGGATGCAAGGCTGCATCTGTTCAGCCCAAGACGTTCCATTGGTCCAGTGGTGTTAGAGCACATTTGGTCAGGTTGCCTTCATGGGATATTTGACAAGCTGCAAACCCGAGGGCATGCTGGTGCCCGAGGGCGCCTCCGTGCTGACCTCAGCATGTGCAGCAAGAGCCAGGGCACAGGGGCGGCCTGGCCCATTTCAGGCAGGTGCTCTGTGGGAGGGTGGCTGTCTCCACTGACAACCCAGGGAGGTCAGCAAGGAGGAGCCCTGAGGTGGACTCGAAAGCTGTGGGAGCTGATGGCCCTCCTGGTCTCTGCCACAGCCCTTAGGCTGTGGGACACACAGCGTCACATTTGATCACTGTTCATGGGGCCTGCCGAACACTCAGCATTCCTGAGTGCAGATCGTCACGTAACTTTCCAAAAATTGCAAACCCAGATATGGCTCCATGACCCCTCCTGCAAGACTGTGAAGGAGTTCAGGGCACAGCTGAGCCCTCACACCCCCAGCCCCATCACTGCCCCTGATATGCACTGAGTGGAATTCTGTCCCGCCAGGAGACAAACAGTGGACAGCATCCTGGCTCTTCAGAAGCACATGACGATGGCAAACTGAAGGCCTCATGGGCCCTCACCCAACAGCAGTGGCTTTTCAGGGCATAACACAGGCCCCAAACACTGAGCCTCTTCCTCCTGGGCAGGTACCCAGCTGGCCAGACAGGGCAGGGTAGGGGCGAGTGGGACCTCAGTGGGCAGCCGGTCCAGGACAGAACCACACGGGGATGTGATGGAAGTACCAATGGGAACTTTGAAAACAATGCCTCTGCTCACCAAAGTATCCCAGCTTCACTGTAGAAAATATAGACACTACAGAAGGGCACCGAGATTCGATATGCCGCCCTGCTGAGATAACCCACACTAACATGCCCACATGTATCCTGCAGGTGTTTTTCAAGCCTGTGCGTATTGACAGTCATGAGGCTATGCTAAGCATTGCCGGATGCATCTGCCACTAAGTAGTCTTTAACGTTGTTTATTAAACACTTTTAATGGTCACGTTAGATCATAAACCAAACCCAACTTTATTATCCTGTCTTCTGCTGCTGAAAGTTGTGTCTGTCTCCACTTCCTCACGGTGCTCACTCTGGTTGGCCAAATCATGAAGATCCATGGAGGCGCGGGAGCCTTCCGGCCTGGAATGGGGCAGCAAAAGCACAGAGCCGCAGAGAAGCCGGGAAAGCAAAGGCAGGGGCTGCTGGGCTGGGCCCCATCAGCCCCATGGCAGCGGCACCCGCACAGGCCTGGGGTCCCCAGCAGCAGGGATGCTGTCTGTGGGCCCAGGGCTCCTCCACAGCTTTGGGGGCTTCCTGCCAGAGGAGGGGGGTGGTTCTCCTGGGAGGGGCCCCAAGACAGGAGTCCCCAGACCTGGGCACGCCTCACCTCGGGTAGGGCCCCAACGCTTCAGCGGGTCTCACTGGCATCCCTAAACCTAGACCACAGGAGAGTGTGCTGTGCCATCATCACGATGACCCCTCCCCATCCCAGCGCACGCTCCCACGACGCACCGTGCTCACAGTGACCCCTCCCCATCCCAGCGCACGCTCCCACAATGTGCCGGGATCACAGTGACCCCATGGGCTACCTGCCGCTCCCAAGGACTAATGGAGGCCTCTGTCCCCAGGTTCTATCCCGGGTTCCTCACAGGGCACCAGCCCTCAGGCCCAGTTAAATTCCGGAGCGGCTCTTTAAGCCCACAGGCCCAGGCCGCTATGGTAGGACCCAGGTGGGAGAGGCTCTCCGTGTGCTGTCTCCCTGACAGGTGCCCCATCCATAGCTTTCTAGAACATCCCAGGGAGGCTCCCAGGCCCCGAGCCTCAATCCTCAAGCCTGTGGGTCCCAGACTGCAGGCTCAGTGAGCCCTACAGAGACCAGGCCAGCGGAAGGAAACAGGGAGACCCACATGGTCAGAGAAGAGGGCTGGAGGTTCAGCCTGAGGGGCCTCTGGGCTTTCTCTAAACAGAGCGGGGGTGGGAGGAGGCTGTGATGTACAGTGAGGGGACTTGAGAGGGAAATGGGGGCCTCCACCCACCCCAGGGACGAGCGCTCACCCCAGGCCCACCTGGCTCGCAGCATCCAAGCCAGGGCTACGCAGAGCAGCTGCTCCCAAACCCAGCTCCCTCTGGGTGCCTGAGCCAGGCTCAGAGATGCATCCTGCATCGTTCTTTCTCCATCCTGTGTCAACAAGACAACACAGGCAACCAGCGTGGCCATGCTGGAAATCCACAGCCTAGCGGAGCGGCCTCGCCTGCATTCATGTGGCCAGTGGAATTCGCGGCACACACATTCGCACTGTCACGCTCAGTTCACGTGTGCACACGCTCACAGCCACAGCACACTCACAGTTCACACACCTCACACGCATACATACACAGGTGTACGTGCACATGCACACTCACGTACACACCCACCCACACACAGTCTCACACCCAGGTTCACACCCACACATGGACCTCAATCCACCGGTACCTGCCACACACCCACACGCGGACCTCCATCCCACTCCAAGGCCTTTCCCCACATCCCCGGGCGGCAGGAGCCCAGCGGTCAGTGCAGAGGCATGGACGAGGGCCAGGGAGGCAGGTGGCACGAGCCACCTGCTCTCCACATCCTTCTCGAGAGGAAAGGAGGTGCCGGCCCACCCTGCCCACAGCTCCTCGGCGAAGCCGCGTCTGGTCCAGGGCCAGCCGCCCCTTTGCTGGTTTCAGTTCCTCCTTTATCCATTCATAAACGTTGAACAAAAGCGCTCTTTTCCCTCACGGTATCTCTAGCAGTTAAGATCAACACCAATATTTGAGAACTGTCAATACTGCATTTTACCCACTTCCCAAATGTGAAACCGGAAGGCACACGTAGCCCTTGCTGGGCTGTTTCCAGTGAACACAGTTGAGGGTGGGCTTGGGGGTTCTCCGCATCGTAATGTCTTAGGAGGGGGTGGGGCCACACCTTCCCACCTTGTCCGAGTAACAGGCCACGTGTGCGGTTTAGTTCACACCGTGGAGGAGGGGAGTGTGAGGGCAGCGGGTGGGCCGCTGTGTCCTGGTCTCTGTCCTGCTGTGTGGCCAGGGAGGGAGTGCGGCTGTCCGATTTAGGTTGAAACACCGTCCATCGGCATCTCTGGGGGATGTTGCCACTGCCCTTGACTCCTGCCCTTGTGTCTGGAAAGGGGAGGCTTCAGAGTGAGTGGCCCACAGCCTTCCAGTTGCAGGAGCTGGTGTGGGAAGGGGCATCCCCATGGCTGTGGGCCGGAGCCCTGTAATAATGGGAAGTTTCAGTGCCCTCATAGGAGTTTCACTGGAGCAGGTAAATCGGTCTGGGAGCTTGTGAACCGCTCTGGGCTGCTGGGGCTGCACTGACAACAAGCACAGAGCCCAGCTACAAGTGGCGTGGCTGCAGGAGACGCCCTGGAGACCTGAGACAGGCTGGGTGTCTCTGCTGTCCCAGGACAGAACCCAGCTACAAGTGGCGTGGCTGCAGGAGACACCCAGGAGCCCCCAGGCAGGGTGGGCGGCTCTGCTATCCCAGGACTGGGTCAGGACAGCTCAGCCCTCGCAGTCCTCAGCCAAGTGCTGCCCCGCTCTGCAAGGGGCCCAGAGGGCTCCCAGAGGCCTGCGGACCAGTGCTAGGCCTCACATCCCTGAACCACTCCCTGACCTCACATCCCTGAACACATGCAGGGGCCGGGCCTCAGCTGGGGGGCATGGCACTGGGTGAGGTCAGAGGTGCTCCAAGCATGTGGCCTAGAAGGTTTGTCCAAAACAAATTCTCTCCTGGACCCTGGAGGGGAAGCAGAAGCCGGCTGCTTCCTATAGTTCCCAACACCAGAAAGCCCAGGACTTCTCAGGGAAATCTTGGTTTCCAGCTTTTTCCGAAAGTGCCTGATGGGCAGGCATTCACTCCTTTCAGACAAGCCCCCCAGCCCTTCAGCCACTGAGCCGTGACCCTCTCCCCAGGAAGGACTGGTGGGGCTGGGGCACTGCCACCACCTGGAGCCCCATCTTCAGCCGCCTGGCAGGAGCTGCACCTGCACATGGCACCCGTGAACTCCGGCATCTTCCTCTGTCCTCCCAGGCACTCGGCATCTTCCAGGGCTGCTGCCTCCTGAGCCCACTCGATATGGTTTAGATGTTTGTCCCCACAGATCTCATGTTGAAATGTAATCACCAGTGCTGGAGGTGGGGGCTGGTAGGAGGTGTTTGGATCACAGGAGTGGGTCCTTCCTGAATGGCGTGGGTCATCCTGTTGGTGATAAGTGAGTTCTCACTCTGGTAGATCTGGTAGTTTAAAAGTGTGTGGTGGCTGGGCGCAGTGGCTCACACCTGTAATCCCAGCACTTTGGGTGACTGAGGAGGGTGGATCACTTGAGGTCAGGAGTTCAAGACCAGCCTGGCCAACATGGTGAAACCCTGTCTCTACTAAAAACACAAAAATAATTAGCTGGGTGTGGTGGTGCGCACCTGTTATCCCAGCTGCTTGGGAGGCTGAGGCAGGAGAATTGCTTGAACCTGGGAGACAGAGGTTGCAGTGAGCTGAGATTACGCCACTGCACTCCAGCCTGGGCGACAGAGTGAGACTCCATCTCAATTAAAAAAAAAAAAAGTGTGAGGCGCCTCCCCCTTCTGACTTGCCCCCCTCTCACAGCCCCCCTCTCACAATGTGAGGTGCCTCCCCCTCTGACTTGCCCCTCTCTCACAGCCCGCCTCTCACAATGTGAGGCGCCTCCCCCCTCTGGCTTGCTCTCCTCTCACAATGTGAAGCGCCTCCCCCCTCTGACTTGCTCTCCTCTCACAATGTGAGGCACCTCCCCCCTCTGGCTTGCTCTCCTCTCACAATGTGAGGCGCCTCCCCGCTCTGGCTTGCTCTCCTCTCACAATGTGAGGCGCCTCCCCCCTCTGGCTTGCTCTCCTCTCACAATGTGAGGCGCCTCCCCCCTCTGGCTTGCTCTCCTCTCACAATGTGAGGCGCCTCCCCCTCTGACTTGCTCTCCTCTCACAATGTGAGGTGCCTCCTCCCTCTGACTTGCTCTCCTCTCACAATGTGAGGTGCCTCCTCCCTCTGACTTGCCCCCCTCTTAAAGTGTCATGTATCTGCTCCCCCTTTACCTTCCACCACAACTGGAAGCTTCCTGAGGCCTCATCAGAAGCAGATCCTGGCACTACACTTCATGTACGGCCTACAAAACCATGAGCCAATTAACCCTCTTTTCTTTATAAATTACCCAGTCTCAGGTTTTCTTTATAGCAATGCAAGAACAGCCTAGTACACCACCTCTGCCTCTCTTTCCGCCATCTGCTGTTAAAAGCAGGCTGATCAGGACCAGGGGCCAGCATCAGATATAACCTGGCATCCCCTGCAAAGTCCCAGGCTTCCCCCACTATGGCTTGGGGACCTGCAGCTGCTTGCTCCTCATCTCTGAGGCTTCGGGGAGCCCAGAGCTCAGAGTCCCTTAGGGCCAGGGCAGAGTGTGGCCTGGGGGCCACCAGCCTCAGGAAGCCCAAGGCCTCCTCCAAGCAGGAGTTCTCTCAGAGCCAGAGCTGCCCCACCCCATATGGCCCAGTGACCATCACTCAAAGCTCACCTTCTCCTTGAGCCTCTGGTCAGCCGACCAGCCCTGACTGCTCCCGGGCCCCTGGCCCCTGGCCACGTCCCCCCTCCTGCCCCTGCACCCCATGCTGACCAAGCTCCACCGCCTCAACCCCGCAGGATCCAGCACTGCTCTCCACTGCCGCTGGGTGCATTCCGTCGGGCAAAGCTTTGTTGCATGAGGCCGGGGCTCAGCATCACAGCCTCTCTGTCGGTTCCTGCAGGCAGTGGACATGGTGGGTCCCCACTGTGAGGAGCCCAGCCTCTGGGGGCCCAGACGCAGGTTTCTGGCTGGGCACACACTGGGGTGAGCAGGCTCCCTGGCTGTGAGGCCGTGAGCAAGCCCATCTCCGAACTCCAGTTTTCTCATCCCTAAAAATTAAAAATAAGAAGGCCCTCAAGGGGACTGGCAGTTCCCAGCCCTCTTGGGCCTTGCCCATTTCTGGTGTAGAGGATGGAGCCATCTCTTACAGCTCGGGTTGGTGAGAAGCAAGCATGAGGCTACGGTGGCATTTTCAGGTAAAGTTTAGATTTTCCAGAAGAAGAAACGTGTAAGTGGCACATACCCTGTCCCCCTTCTCCTTTGCGCTGAACAAAGTTGTGATGTCTGAAACTGCAGCAGCCGCCTTGGGATGATGAGGGCAAAGAAAATTGGCATCACTGGGGTCCCCAACCCGGGCTCCAAACCAAGGTCACTGCTGCTAGGACTAGACTGTGGCTAAGAGAAAGAAAACACAACAGCTGAGTGACTGTTGCACCCAATGCCTTCCTGTGGACCCTGGCATCTGCCGAGGTGGCGGGCAGAGCTTAGGTGGCGCGGGCACAGCTTAGGTGGCACAGGCACGTGTGCAGGTGCCCGTAACAAGGCCTGGAAGGAGGCTGTGCCTGCCCAGCGGAGGGACCCCCTTTCTCTGTGGGGAGATAGAGCCCCGGGAGGGGGCAGGAGCTGGAGCATGGGAGTGGCTGGGGCTGCGGAGGGGAGCTCTGGAGGACCCCACCTTCCCAGGGCTAGGACAGAGGGAGCCGGCTGCTGGGGACGTCCCTCCATCTGCTCAGACAGAGGGAGCTGGCTGCTAGGGACGTCCCTCCGTCTGTTTGGACACAGGGAGCTGGCTGCTGGGGACGTCCCTCCGTCTGCTCGGACAGAGGGAGCTGGCTGCTGGGGACGTCCCTCCGTCTGCCTGGTGTCCAGCCTGGCCTGAGTCCAGGTCCGAGCAGTCTGTGTGGATGAAGGAGCGGGTTGGGATGGGGAATAAACAAAAGCCTGAAATGTAATCAGCCGGCTTCGCAGCTATGGCGAGCGGGCAGGCCTCCTGCATCCTGGTAGTCAGCACTGAGCCCGCTGGAGCCAGCCTTGTCCTCAGAGGCAGCACCGGGAGAATGCAGTGCAGGTGACAGGGGACCTTTGCTGCCCAGAGGCATGTGGTCTATTGGCTGCACGTTTGTGCTCCTGCAGGAGTCACGGGTGGAACCCCAACCCCAGTGCTGCGGTGTGTGGAGTGGGGTCCTCCCAGTGGGATCAGTGCCCTCATAGGAGAGGGCTGCCCTCCCCTTTCTCTGTCGCACCGGGAAACCAGGAAGGGCCCTCACTAGGAGGCCAGTCAGCTGGTGCCAGGATCTCCGGCTTCCACCCCAGAGTGGTGGGAGCTTCCTGTGTCTGCTGCTCAACAAACCTATGTCTGCTGCTCGGGTTGCCCGTGTGTGGTTTTCTGCTATGGCCACCTGAGCTGATTAAGACCTCCCCCAAAATCTGTGCAAAACCCCAGCGCTTCGAATGTCACCTCTGAGGCAAAAGCTGTGATAAACATAGGGATCTTAAGAGGTGCTTTTCCTGGGTTATCGGGGGGTGGGGCCTGGGGGTCTAAATGCATTCACCAATGTCCTTCTAAGAGACAGAAGAGAGACACAGAGAGAAGAGGCACAGAGGAGCCGGCCATGGAGCGATACAGCAGAAGCTGGAGGCGACGGGAGGATCCTGGCCCAGAGCCTCGGGAGGGAGTGGGGGCCGTGTTCCAGAAGCCTGAGAGTCCTGCGTGTTGTTCTGAGCCCCTAAGGCTGGGGTAGCTTGTTCCAGCAGTCATGGGAAACTGACACATCCCAAACACAGCAGCACGAGAACATAGGACTGAGACACCATCCCCATCACGCCCCAACACACGAAGACTGACGGTGGCGGGTGCTGCACATCTCAGCCGGAGCTCTGAAGGCATTTAGCTGAGCGCTGGCCTGCACCTGGAGAGAGTGAGAGACACCAGCCTCCACTGCCAGGAAGGCCCAGGGTCCTCAGGGACCAAGACGCAGGAGACGGCCGCTGCCAGGGTCCTCGGGACTTCTGTGTGGCCTTCGCTACCGGAGCCCTGAGGCGCCATCCCCATGTGCCCTTCGGGCTGGTCCAGGAGGAGGCCCTGCGGCGGCCACAGACTGGGGGGACAAAGCCCCAGGAACTCAGAACCTTGTGGGTTTTGGAAGAGGAGCCGCGCAGCAAGGTCCCGACGCCTGCAGGGAGCTGAACGGGGAGCCGCGCGAGGAAGGGAGTGCAGCAGACCCAGTACGCAAATGCTGACCCTACAAAACGCACCGCGGGTTCTCGAGCCGTGGGGATCCCGGCGGTGCTCTCCAGAGACCGCAGCTGCAGGAGCTGGGCGGTCCCCGGCAGGTGCCACGAGGGTGCGATCTCGGCCGAGAACCACCAGGCGTCCACGTCCACGGAGGGACTCATTCTCCGTGCCCATCTCACAGGGAGCAAAGGAGGCGGAGGGAGCCCCGGACTCACTGGGTTCTGACCCAGACCCTTCTCTTCTGCAGGGTGGAGTCCTCCTCCCAGAGAAGCCCAGACGTTCGTTTGGGAGACCCAGGGACACTCGGGGCCATCACCTGCCCCTCACTGGGGCTCCCAGGGGAGACTTCACGCAGTGCCCAGTGTCCTCCCGCTGGGATCCTCCTGCCCCCGAGGGGCGCCCGTGTCCCCCAGCACCCCAAGGAAGAGAATGAGCTGTCTTTGGCGGGTGCTGTGCTATTTTCTGTCCTTATTTCACCTAGAATGGCCATTTCCAGAACTCAATCCCTGCAAATGAATTTCTTCTAACGCCCCTTTTCAGTATCAAGGAGCAGGAAGCAATATCCTTTAAAAACCGATCGGCCATACATTTCTGCTCATTAAATAAATATTTTTACTTTGGACCCGATTGATTTTTCAGACACACGGAACAATGGGACTGACTCACCTGTGTGCAGCTGGGAGCCTCCTTCCTCCCCGGGGACCTTTGAAGTCACAGTGAGGCGGCCACACCTGGTGCACAGGTGGAGCCCGGCCGATAGGCACCTGAATTCTCACCAACTTCACAGGGTGTTCAGAAACGGGCTCGCACTCGGCCGACACGCCCCCTTCCTGGATCCCTGGGGTGGGATGCCCAGTGTGGCTGCACCGGAGAAAGGGTGAAAACCAGCGGAGAGAGGGCCGGGAAAGGCTCCCCCACAGGCATGTCAAGGAGAGAACCTGCAGTTCCACCACACCCTCCAGCCCCCTCCCAGGCAATCTCCCCACTCCAGCCCCTGACCCCTGACCACCTTGCTCCTTGGTATCCAGAGCCAGGCCGGAACTCAGGGAGGGCCGCGCCGTTCACTTCTGTAAGGGAGCCTCCGTTCAGTCAGTCATTCAACAAACATGAATCCAGAGCCGCATGCACTGCTGGTCCCGTCCCAGCTGCTGGTCACGGAGCGGAGAAAGCTTGAAGGCCGTGGTGTCTACTGAGAGGCAGATGACAAACCAGGAGCACGAGTCACAGCACACACTGGCGCAGCTGCAGGGAGCTGGGCAGAGCCGGGCCTGGCACATGGGGCAGGAGGCTGTGGCCCTAACGCCATGGTGGGCGCCACAGACCTTGTCAGAAGGGGTCTGAGCAGAGACATTGATTTGGTTTCATTATCATATAGAACAGAATAGAAAACTCAGACATGAAGCTGCACACATACACCCGTCTGGTCTTTGACAAGACCAACGAAAACAAGCCGCGGGGAAAGGACTCCCTGTCCGATAGATGGTGCTGGGATAAGCAGCTCAGTCACAGGCAGAAGAAGGAAACTGGACTCTTACCCTTCCGCATAGACGAAAATCAACTCTAGATGGATTAAAGACTCAAATGCAAGACGTCAAACTATAAACATCCTGGAAGACAACGTCTTCTTGACGTTGGCGTTGGCAAAGAACGCTGGCTAAGTCCTCAAAAGCAATTGCAACAAAAACAAAAATAGACAAGTGATACCTAATTAAACTGAAGAGCTTCTGCACAGCAGAAGAAACTGCCAACGGAGGAAACAGACACCCTACAGAATGGGAGAAAATGTCTGCAAACTATGCATCTGACAAAGGCCTAATATCCAGCATCTATAGGACGCTTACACAAATCAACAAGCAAAAAACAACCCCATTAAAAAATGGGCGGCCGGGCGCGGTGGCTCATGCCTGTAATCCGAGCACTTCGGGAAGCTGAGGCGGGCGGATCACAAGGTCAGGAGATCGAGACCATCCTGGCTAACACGGTGAAACTCCGTCTCTACTAAAAAATATTAAAAAATTAGCTGGGCGTGGTGGTGGCCGCCTGTAGTCCCAGCTACTCGGGAGGCTGAGGCAGGAGAATGGCGTGAACCAGGGAGGAGGAGCTTGCAGTGAGCCGAGATTGCGCCACTGCACTCCAGCGTGGGCTACAGAGTGAAACTCTGTCTCAAAAAAAAAAAAAAAAAGGCAAAGGACATGAACAGATACTTCTCAAAACAAGACATACAAGTGACCAACAAGTATAAGAAAAAATTCTCATTATCAGAGAAATGCAAATCAAAACCACAATGAGATGCCAGCTCAGCAGTCAGAATGGCGATTATTACAAAGTCAAAAAAACAACAGATGCTGGTGAAGCTGAAGAAAAAAGGTGATGCTCACGCACTGCTGGTGGGAACATAAATTAGCCCAGGCCCGTGGAGAGCAGTCTGGAGATTCCTCAAAGATCTTAAAACACAGCTACCATTCAACCTAGCAATCCCATTACTGGGTATATACCCAAAAGAAAATAAAGGATTCTGCCAAAAGGACACATATGTTCATCACAGCGTTATTCACGATAGCAAGACATGGAACAAACCTAGGTGCCCATCAGTGGTGGACTACATAAAGAAAACGTGGTACATATACACTGTGGAATACTACGTAGCCATAAAAAGAATGGAATCGTGTCCTTTGCAGCAACATGGATGCAGCTGGAGGCCATTCTCGTAAGCAAATTAATGCAGGAGCAAAAAACCAAATACCGCATGTTCTTACTTACAAGTGGGAGCTAAACATTGAGGACACGTGGACAAAAAGATGGGAACAAAAGTCACTGGGGCCTCCTGGAGGGTTGGGGATGGAGGATTAAAGAACTTCCTTCAGGTATGATGCTCGCCATCTGGGTGATGGCACCCGTCCTCCAAACCTCAGCATCACACAATATTCTCATGTAACAAATCTGCACGTGTGCCCCTAAATCTAAAATAAAAGTTGAGATTTTAAAAGTAAAGTAAGATAAATGTCATATCAGTTATTCGATCCGTCAAACGTTTCCTTTAACACCTTAAATAGAAACAGTCATAGGTATTGGAAGAATAAAGAATTGGAATGGAAGTCCACAGAGGCAAAATGGGCAAACAATTAACATATGTAAGCAGGTATTTGTTGTTTCTAGTAGGTCTCAATGTTGTTTACACATTTGGTTGGTTGTTTTTGGTGAATATTCACTGGATTCAAGTAAGTGGTTCATTTTCTAATCCCTGGAGTGAAGCCGCTACAAACAGTCGTGTGTAGATTTTCCCGTGAAATAAACTTTCATTTCTCCAGCATGCATGTCCAGGCAGGGGGTTGCTGGATCCCAAGGTAAGCATAGTTGTAACATTAAAATACACTGCCACCTTGTCGTCTGGAGCAGCTGCCGCACGTCACACCCCCAGCAGTGGCACAGGAGAGCCAGGGGCTCCGCGTCCTCGCCAGTGCTGGGTGTGACCACGCGTTTCCTTTTTCCTCGCGCTGTTCTCACAGGTGTGTGGTGGTTCCACACATCAGTGGTGTACATTTTTATTCCCTCGTGGCTGACGATGTCGAGCATCTCGTGTTCTTATCTGCCATCCAAATGTCCTTGGTGAATGAGTTCTTCCCTCTTTTGCCCATTATTCATCTACTCGTGTTGTGTTAAGTGTGTTTGTGTTTCATTCTCTTGGCAGGGCTGTCAGTGGGACTGAGACTTAAACTTCAATTCCCACGTGTTCACTGTTATTAGATAAAAACGCCATTGACACGTGTGTGCCAATCTTGTATCCTGTGACACTGCTGAACTCATGGACTAGTTATAGGTGAGGTTTTTGTGTCTTTTTTGGTAAATTCCTTGGAATGTTCTACATAAACAATTATGCTCTCTGTAAATAGAGATGGTTTTCTTTCTCCCTTTCTTGTCTGAATGCCTTTTATTTCCTTCTCTTGCTTTATTGCACTAGCTGGGACTTTCAGGATGATGTTGGCAAGGATGGGAGTGGGGACCGCCTATCCTCATTCCAGATTTTAGGGAGGAAGTATCCAGTTTTTCACCACTATGTGCGACGTCATCTGTGGGTTTTTAATGGATACATTCCATCCGGTTAAGGAAGTTCCTCACTGCTCCTAGTTTGCTGAGACTTTTTCCATGAATGATTCTTGAATTTTGACATTGTTTTTTGCGTCATTTGAGATGATCGTGTGTGTTTTCTTCTTTGGTCTGTCAATACAGTGGAGAGTGCTGATTGAATTTCAGATGTTTAGCCAGCCTTGCATGCTACTGTCACAATTTATACATTTGCATCTATGTTCATGGGAGATATTTGTACGTAGTTTTGTTTCTTGTACTGTCATTTATCTGGCATTGGCACTGGAGTAATGCTGTTTTCATAACATGAGTAGGAAAGCATTTCTCTTCTATTTTCTGGAGGAGATTGTGCAGAATTGGTAATATTTCTTCATTACCTGTTCATAAAATCTGCTAATGAAACCATCTGTGTCTGGAATTTTCATTTTCAGAAAGTTTTTCTGCTATGAATTCAATTACTTTAATACAAAAGGGTTGTTCAGGCCATCTATTTCTTGTTGAGTGAGTTTTGGTAGTTTGTGGCTTTTAAAGAATTGGCTTATTCCTTCAAAGTTGTCAGATGTATATGCAGGGAGTAGCTCATAATGTTCGTGCATTGCCCTCTTAATGTCTGTGGGTCAATAGTGATATATCCTCTTTCATTATTGATACTGGAAATTTATCTCTCTTTCTCCCTTGCTAATCAGTCTGGTTAAAGCTTTATCAATTTTACTGATCTTTTCAAAGAACCAGCCTCTAGTTTATTGATTTTTCTTTGTTGTCTTTCTGTTTTCTATTTCATTGGTTTCTCTTATCTTTATTCTTTCCTTCCTTCTGCCTGCTTTCAGTTTAATTTGCTCCTATTTTCGTAATTTCTTAAGGTGGAAGCTTAGATTGTTGATTTATAATTTTCTTCTGTTTTTAATATTAGCATTTCTTTTCTAACTAAATGCTTGTAGGGCTATAAGCATTTAGTTCTATAAATTTCTCTCTAAGCACTGTTTCATTTTGCTATATTTTTCATTTTCATTCAGTTCAAGTGATTTCCAGTTTTTCTGAGCCATTCTCCTCAACATTTGCATTGTCTAAGGAGTGTGTTGTTTAATTTCCACCTATTTGGAGGTTTTCTAGGCATTTTTATATTATTGATTTCTAGTTTAACACCATTGTAGGTTTTTTGTATTTTAAATTTTTTCACATGCATTTTATGACCAAAAAGAAAGTGTATGTAGATGTTGTTTGGCAGAACGTTTTATAAATGTTAGTTAGGTCCAGTTGGTTCCTGGAGCTGGTCAGTTCTTCCATATCCTGCTAATTTACTGTCCACTTTTCTATCAGCTACTGAGAGAGGAGTTGTTATGGACTGAATTGTGTCCCACAAAATTCACATGTTGAAGCCCTAACCCCCAATGTAACTGTATTTAGAGACAGGGCCTGTAAGGAGGTGATTATGGTTGCAAGAAGTCATATGAGGGGGTCCGATTCAATAGGACTTATGTCCTTACAAGAAGATGGAAAGAAGCCAGGAATCATTCACTCTCCACACCAGCACAAAAAAATACCATGTGAGAACACTGAGAAGTCAACCCCAACAGCCTTCATCTTGGTCCTCCAGCTTCCAGAATGGTGAGAAAACAAATTTTTGCCCTTTAAGGCCCCAGTCTGTGGTATTTTGACATGGCAGCCCTAACCAACTGAGATGGGAATGTTGGGGTCACCAATTCCAGTATGGAGCTGCCTGTTCCCTTTCAGGCAGCTCTATCGTCTTTGTCTTGTGTGTTTGGAAGCCCTATCGTTGGGTGCATATGTGTTTAGGATTACTAGGTCTTCTTGGGGAGTTGATCCTTTGTCATTATGCAACGTCCCTCTTTACTCTTAGGAATTTTCCTTGCTCTGAAATCTACTTTGTCACTCCAGTTTTTTTAATTGGTGTTTGCTTGGCATATCTTTTTCTATCCTTTTATGTTTAATCTGCCTATATTTTGTATTTAAAGAGGGTTTTTATAGACAGCCTGTAGATAAGACTTGCCTTTATCCAGTCTGATAATTTCTGCCTTTAATCAGTATGTTTAGATCATCTACATTTATATTCATTACTGATGTGTCTGAATTTAGGTCCAGCATTTCTTGCATGTCCTCTATTTGGCACCTCTGATTTTTTCTCCTTTTCCCCTTTGCATGTCTTCTTTTGGATTATTGGGATATTTTGTGGTATTTCATTTTGATTTATCTAATGGTTTCTTGAATTCTATCTCTGTGTATTGTCATTCTAAGGATTGCAATATACATTCTAACTCCTCCTCACCTTGCCAGTCTATGCAGAATTAATATTTTACCACTTCTGGCTGGAATGCTGGGACCTTGTCCCCACCAAGGCCCCTTCACTGTGCCCTTTGTCACAGTCATCGTATTGCACCTGCACATATTGAAAATTCAACCAAGCAATGTTGTTAATTGTTGCTTTCAACCATCATATGTACTTTAAAGACTCATCTACATGCTGTCTACAAGAAACTCATTTTCAATGTAATGATACAGACTGTTTCACAGTCAAAGGATGGGAAAAGAGCTATCAGGCCAACATCAGTTACACAAAAATCCTCAAACAGCTCTATTCATGTGAGACAAAATAGATTCAGAGCAAGAAAAGTCACTTGGGGTAAAGAGGAGAACAATAGTGTGCTGTGTTTCCTTGGACATTTACTGCTTGTCTTGCCCTTTCTTCCTTCTTGGGGTTGTGGGTTTTCCTCTGTATCTTCCCTCAAGCTGAAGAACTTGCTTTGGCATCTTTTAAAGCAGGTGTGCCGGCAACAAATTCTCTTAGTGCGTCCTCACTGGAGATCATCAATTTTTCTTTCATTTCCGAAGGGTGTTCTCGCGTCGATTTTTCCTTCGTTTCCGAAGGGTGTTCTCGCATCGATTTTTCTTTCGTTTCCGAAGGGTGTTCTCGCGTCGACTTTTCTTCATTTCTGAAGGGTGTTCTCGCGTCGATTTTTCCTTCATTTCCGAAGGGTGTTCTCACGTCGACTTTTCCTTCATTTCCGAAGGGTGTTCTCACGTTGATTTTTCATTTCTGAAGGGTGTTCTCGCATCGATTTTTCCTTCGTTTCCAAAGGGTGTTCTCGCATTGATTTTTCCTTCATTTCTGAAGGGTATTCTCGTGTTGATTTTTAATTCATTTCTGAAGGGTATTTTCGGTCGATTTTTTCATTTCTGAAGGGTATTCTTGCATCGATTTTTCCTCCATTTCTGAAATTCTCACAGATGCACAACTCTGGCTTGGTGCTTCCTTTGGTTTCTTGTTTTCAATGTTCTTCCACATCCTGGTCTGCACAGCATCTGATGAGAAACTGCAGCCGGGATTATTGTGCCCTGTAGGGGATGTGTCATTTCTGTCTGACTGCTTCTCTGGAACTAATTAAATAAGTTAAACCAGTGCTTTTTCTCCAGGAAACACTTGGACACCTGTCTTTTATCACCTACTTGTCACTGTGGGAAACTCAGCTCTCAGCCCAGGGGGTAAAGCAGATGTTGACAGGTGGTTGGAAATCAATTGCCCTCCTTGGCTGACATGAGCCCCAGGGAGCATGTTGACTAATCAGTGGCCTTTGGGGAAAGAGCAGTATCAGGTCCAGAGAGAGGGAACCATCCCCAGTGTATCCAAAAGAGGAAGCACACTGTTGTGGGTACGATTGAGTTCCCCCTCAGAAGGTATGTCCAAATCCCAACACCCAGTGCCTTATTTGGAAATCAGGTCTTTGCAGATGTCATTAAATAAGATGAGGTCACACTGGACTGGAGTGAGCCTAATGATGACACCCTTATAAGAGAGAGAAATTTGGACACACAGACACACAGAGAAGGAAGGCCAGCATAGTGTGATGTTGTCACAAGCCAGGGACAACCCAGAATTGTGGACAACACCAGAAAGGGAAAGAGGCAAGGAAAGTTCCTCCCTGGAGCCTTTGGAGGGTGCATGGTCCTGTGGACACCTTGAATTACACGTCTCATCTCTGAAACAGTGACAGAATACACTTCCAGTGTTTCCAGCCATGCGGTGTGCAATAATTTGTTACAGAAGTCCTAGGAAACACGTACACACACCTTTTCTTTGTGTATTTAGCCTCTTTGTCCTTAAATCCCATAAGTCTGCTTTGGCCAAAGATGCAGGTCCCCACTTCTTGGCCGTAAAGAGAAGGTTTCCCTGGCCTGGCCACATTGCTTTTTGGTTCAGCCTCATTGCTGACTTAGGGACAACAGGAACTTATCCCCAGGAGAGGTTCTGAGGGAAGCAAGAGGCTCTGTAGCCTCTTGCCAGGGGCCCGGCGTCTCTTCAGTATGGACAGAATTGAACAAGTGAATGGCCTGCTCCTGAGTCCCACTGGCTAAATTAGGGGTCGGGCTTTGCTTTCCACCCCGAGTGTGAGTGCAGCAGCCAGGCTCCCCATCACAGCACAGGGTGGCACATGGATGGGGCAGTGCCTCTTCCACAGGAATGCCAGCAAAGCCACATCCTGAGGCCATAAGGTGGCTCCAGTGGTCAGTAAAGATCTGGCCTCGGCAACGTGTGGGACTCGTGGGACATGTCACGGAACAGAGTGTCTAATGGCAACAGGCTGGGCTGTGACTTCTGCCCTGGGCCAGGGACATGCACAGTGTGTCTTTTTGTTTTTGTTGTTGTTTTTGAGACGGAGTCTCGCTGTCACCCAGGCTGGAGTGCAGTGGTGTAATCTCAGCTCACTACAAACTCCACCTACCTGGTTCAAGTGATCCTCCTGCCTCAGCCTCCTGAGTAGCTGGAATTACAGGCACACGCCACCACACCTGGCTAATTTTTGTATTTTTAGTAGAGACGGGGTTTCACCATGATGGCCAGGCTGGTCTCAAACTCCTGACCTCAGGTGATCCACCTACATCGGCCACCCAAAGTGCTGGGATTATAAGTGTGAGCCACCGCACATGGCCCACAGTGCATCTTTAAATATTAAACAGGAAAAGAAATCAACCCAGGAAATTCCACTTCCAAAAATGGAAGTCTAGATCACCTATACCCCCCCAGATGCCAAGGATAACTGGAAAACTTGGACAAAATAGAACCATATCTGCTTGAAGGCACTGGAAACCAACCAAGTAGTGTAGACACGCCTGGCTGGCACCCAAGAGAAATGCGACTGTAGGTGGGTGAGCCTGGGATCTGGGTGTAGACAAGCCCGGCTGGCAGCCAAGAGAAATGCGATTGTAGGTGGGTGAGCCTGGGATCTGGGGACATGCCTTCTGTGGGCCATGCCAATTTCAGGAGCAGTGGCTAAAAATCAGTGCCATCCTTTTGAAAGTACTTTGGGGTCGGGGGACAAGTGTTGGCACAAAGACCCAGGAGGAATAAAGTTTCTGCTCTGTATCCCCTGCTTGGGAAGAGAACCTATATAGCTCTTCATGGGGATAAAAGGTAAACTGAGGTCAACCAGCCTGCCAGGGGCCGCAGCCCAACTCCAAGTCATCTGGGAACTCCAGGACCCCCCTGTCCCTGATCCTGGGTTACAGTGTTCCCAGACCAATGGTGTGTCCAGGTGGGGAGGCACAAAGCCTTAAAACTCTGCTTACTTTCTCAGCTGGGAAGCAGATAGCCTGGGGCAGGTTTGCAGCCCTGCTCACCCACTGCCCGGAGACAGACTTTGTGCTGTTGGGAGTGGGGGCGAATGGCAGGAGTGAGACTGGCCTTGCTGGCTGTGTGGGAGTGGGGTGAAGCCTGTAACTGCCTGCTTCCCCACACTTCCCTGGCGACCTGTATGACACAGCAGAGGCAGCCATAATCCCTCTGGGAACATAACTCCATTGACCAGGGAACCACGCCCCATCTCCTACAGCAGCTGCAGCAAGCCCCACCCAAGGAGAGGCTGAGTTCGGACATGCCTAACCCTGCCCCCACCTGGTGGTCTTTCTCTACCTGTCCTGGTAGCTGAAGACAAAGGACATAATCTCCTGGGGGCTCTAGGGCAAGCTTGTATCTTCTCTATAAAACCTCAGCTGATGCACTCTTGAAAGCACCACCTCCTGGCTGGAGGCCAACCTATACCAAACCAGCGCACTTAACAACGCTACCACCAAGGACCCTCAGAGTCCACTTCACTCCCCTGACACCTCCACCAGAGCAGGTGCTGGTATCCATGGCTGAGAGACCTGAAGACAGAGCACGTCACAGGACTCTGTGCAGACACTCCCCTGTACCAGCCTGGAGCCCAGTAGCTCCACTGGGTGGCTAGACCAAGAAGAGCAAAACAATTACTGCAGTTCGGCCCTCAGGAAGCCCCATCGCTAGAGGAAGGGGGAGAGCACCACCTCAAGGGAACACCCTGTGGGACAAAAGAATCTGAACAGCAGCCCTTGAGACCCAGATCTTCCCTCTGACATAGTCTACCAAATGAGAAGGAAGCAGAAAAACAATTCCAGTAATATGACAAAACAACATTCTTTAGTACCCCCAAAAGTGCATGCTAGCTCACCAGCAATGGATCCAAACCAATAAGAAATCCCTGAAGTGCCAGAAAAAGAATTCAAAAGGTCTATTATTAAGCTAATCAAGGAGTTACTAGAGAAAGGTGAAGTCCAACTAATGAAATTTTTAAAAAATGATACAAGATTTGAAGGGAAAAATCTCCAGTGAAATAGATAACATAAATAGAAATCCACATGTTAGACACACTGTAGTGAACTACAGAAAACCAAAATAAAAATAAACATCATAAAAGCAACCAGCATACAAAGTAAGATTACTTTAGAAGGAGCAAAAATTTGATAGACATCCAACTTCTCAGCAGAAACAATGGAAGCCAGAGGACAATGCAATAAAATCTTTAAATGGTGTAAGAAACAAAAAATAACTCCCAGTCTAGGATATTACTCCAAGTAAAAATATCATTCAAGAACAAAGTTAAAATAAAGCTATTTTTATAACAAAGACAAAAGAAAACAAAACTGAGAGAACCACAAAGATGCTGGCAAAGCAGTAGGGGGAAGAAAACGATCTTTTCAGAAAATGGTCAGTTTTACGTCTCCTCCCGTGGAGACATGGATGAAATGCAACCTCCACCTGTCATGGGCCCCCCCTCTGAGCCCCAAGACAACAGCTAAAGCTGGCAGGTACCCCTCCTCAGAGGTCTTGATTTTAAAATAGTAGTAGTTCCAATATTTCCCCTTTGTTCCTCCAGCCACAGGTGTAGTAGCTTCCTCTAGTAGCCTCTACCTTCAAGATATCTTTCAGTTGCCTGCTAAACTCCAAGCCTGGTTAACAATCCTTCATTTCAGTTTTCTGTGTTTAAATAATTGCTGTGGTTTCTGTCTCTTGATTGTGCCCTCACTGGTATGTGGGGTTCATGACAACCTGTCATTGACTAAAATGGCAATCTATATTTTCCAATATAAATAATATATTCATGACAACACATCAACATTCTTAATAAGAAAATTCTTTTAGGATACCAGGGGAACATATCTAATTATACCTAACACTCCCTTGTTTGGTGACAGGAAACTCTGGAATTTTATGGAAAATACTATGACCATGATTCATTAACTTATTTAAAAAGCATTTATCACCCTAAGAATATTTTTGGACTCTTAAAGGCAAGGATTGTGCTTTTTCCTTTGGAATTTTGTGGACTAAAATAGAAATGGGAATTAGAGACAAAAATCCTGATAACAACTCTATCACTAGCTAATTATGTCTTGTATCTTGGGCAAGTCTCTGTCCCTCTCATTTAGGCAAGTTCCTTCCACAGCAAAATTGGAAAATTAAACAGTGTAATTGTTCAGGTCTTGTCAGATACATGACTTTTTGCTATAGCATTCAACACATTAGAAATACATCAGGCAGCCAGTAAATGTTTACAACAGAAGTGATATGGTTTGGCTGTGTCCCCACCTAAATCTCATCTTGAATTGTAGTTCCCATAATCCCCACATGTCATGGGAGGGACCTGGTGGGAAGTCATTGAATCATGGGGACAGTTACCCTCATGCTGTTCTCATGATAGTGAGTGATTTTCACAAGATCTGATGGTTTTACAAAGGGCTTCCCCCTTCACTCTGCACTTCTTCTTGCTGCTGCCATGTGAAGAAGGACATGTTTGCTTCCCCTTCCACCATGATTGTAAGTTTCCTGAGGCCTCCTCAGCCTTGTGAAACTGTGAGTCAATTAAACCTCTTTCCTTCATAAATTACCAAGTCTCAGGCAGTTCTTTATAGCAGCATGAGAACAAACCACTACAAGAGGAAGTGCATTTGAATATGCCCACTTTGGTGCTAGCAGCCTCCATGGTGCCACAACCTGACCATGCCTCCCTGGCTCCTGGTATTCACTTCTCATCACACTAGGTTGGACCCAGGCCAAATGACAGTGGCAGATGTTGTGGGTGTCACCTCTGAGATCAGGCTGTGGAAGACCACGGCTCCATTCCAAGTGCTCACTCTCACATCACTGGCTCTAGGAGATACTTAAGGAGAGCAACTATTAGGTTGGTGCAAAAGTAATTGCAGTTTTTGTGATTACTTTCAATATTTTAATAGCACCTCCTGCCAAACTCATTTGAGAGACCTTGAAAGCAGATCTGCAGCCCCAGTTGAGCCTTCAAATTACCACAGCCCCAGGCATGAGCTTGACAGCAGCCATGTGACAGCCCCTGAGACAGAACCACCCAACTCACCACTCCCAGCTTCCTCACCCACAGAAACTGTGAGATGATGAGTGCTTGTTGCTCAAGCTGCTAAGCTGTGGGGATTTGTTACACAGCCATGGATAATGGATACACTTCTCAATGGGATGGTTAGGGTGCAGCCAAGGTGGAGGCGTGAACTATGTGGGCAGCTGATGCCTTCCTCTCCCTCTTGCATTT
The DNA here is from genome assembly GCF_000001405.40 of Homo sapiens. Taxonomy (NCBI): domain Eukaryota; kingdom Metazoa; phylum Chordata; class Mammalia; order Primates; family Hominidae; genus Homo; species Homo sapiens. The sequence goes on from NT_187550.1 coordinate 37,671, forward strand.
GAATGATGGTTTGGGACCTTCTGTCTTCAAAGCCAAAATGTGTTCCTGATCACATTATTTATGGCTTAGCAAGGCAATGGTGTCACTGCAAGACAAGGACATAGATCACAGCGTCCTGAAATTGGGACAACACCTGGCTCGAATTCACGGTTGAGAAAGCATCTGCTGAGCCTGGCACTTCTGAGGATGCCTTCCTGGAAGCTTCAGTGTCAGACAGTGTGGAGTTATGCTTTTTCTCTTTCGGGGCAGAAAATTCCAGAGCTGGTGAGCTGCAGGATGAGCCCCCAATGTTCTGACGGTTGTGGGCATGGCAGGTGCCAAGAATAACGCACACCCTCCGCATTACAGCCTGGATGGGCTGTGGGTCCATTGCCACCCCAGAGCTGCTGCTCACAGAATGAGGCACAGCCTGGGCTCTGCTCTGCACCTGTGCCGGGAGCAGCCTGGGGCATTCTGTGGATTTGGGGATAGGTATGATTCCTTGTTCATTTTTATTTCAAGGTTATAGACTGAAAACATCATCATCATTTCTGACCCTAATGCCTCGACAGACACAGAAGGCCTCACACCTCTGCCCTCCCCCAAAGATGTCACGGGAAACGTCAACAGAACATCCTTGTCACCACTTCATTTTCACCCACACAGCATTTTGACGTGTTGCAGAAACACAGCACAGCACTGGCAGGTGTTCTGCAGGAAGACACGTGTGTGAATAATGTGTCCATAAAAACAATGTAAAACAATTGACAAAAATGACAATTAGTATCAGGAGGCTTGGCCGCTGGGGGAAGATGTAAAACCAGGCTAGAATCTCAGCTGTACCCACCGCTGTGCTCTGGGGCAACTCACGGGAGCATGTTCTCCACCAATTTGCGATGGAATGAGGTCATTACTGGACACGATGGCTGCAAGACAACGCTTCCATATTTCCCATAACAGCCATGTCTGCTGCCTGACAAATGTTGGAAGGACAGACAGGCCGAGACCGGAGGGGTCTGTGCCACACCCCGGACTCCCACCCTCTTAATAAATCCAGGGCTTGGTTTTCACTGCTTTGTCTGGATGAGCCAATCAGCAAGGGATGCACCTGAGCCTCTGTGTGAACTGTGCAGAGCTCTGCATGCAAGACCACTATGGAATACGCCACTTCCATGCATGGAACACACAACTTCCACATATGGAACACATCACCTCCAGGCATGGAACATGCCACCTCCAGGCATGGAACACACCACCTCCACATGTGGAACACAGATCCTCCACATATGGAACACACCACCTCCTGGCATGGAACATGCAACCTCCACATATAGAACACACCACCTCCTGGCATGGAACATGCAACCTCCACATATGGAACATGCCATCTCCACGTATGGAACACGCCATCTCCACACATAAAACACACCACCTCCACGCATGGAACATGCCACCTCCACGTATGGAACACACCAACTCCATGTGTCAGGGCCTGCTCTGTGCACTGCAAGGTGGCCTGGAAGGATCTGGAAGAGCAAGTTCACAAGCAGTTGTGGCCAGAGCTGGAGCCGGGCACCTGGCATCCTGATCGGGTGAGTCTGCTCAATGCTCCTGTCTCCATGTTCAAGGCACTCTTCCAGGAAGGTGGGTACTGAGAGGGCCCCACCCCACCCTGAGAAGCGGCAGCCTTGGGAGGCCCAGGAAGTAAGAGCACCCATTAGCCCAGAATAGTGTGTATTGTTGCACAATGTGCAATGTCTATTAGTAATAATTTACCAATATTGGCTCATCACGTGTAACCAGCATTCCATGCAAACGCAAGGTTTAATAAGGGAGGGAGGGGTACATGGGAACCTCTGCCTTCCTGCTCACCATAACCCTAAGACTGCTCTAAAAATAAAGTCTACTAATTTTTCTAAAAACACCTATGGAGTGATGTCATTGCCTTGTGGGTCTCAGGGGTGACAAAGCTGCAGCACCCAGAGGCCATACAGCAGCCCCAGGTGCCACAGACTCTGCACGGTGCTCAGCCAGTCTCCAGGGCTCTGACCCAGTCAGGCTGTCCAGGGCACCTCCTGTGGTCTGGTTGCCCAGGGATCAGGTCTCTTCAGGGATGGGCAGGACTCTGTCCCCGAAGGCCTGGCACCATACCAGCTTGAGGATGTTCAGCCAGCACCTGCACCACAAATGCCATCCACCAGGAGGGCCAGGGGGCCTGTTGGGCACCACTCGGCCAATGAGACCAGGATCTTTGGCAAAGAGACGCTGTCAAATGTGCAGCCCACAGTCAGCTCAGCATTTCTGGGGCTCTGTTGCCCCTGCAGAGCCAAAGCGTTCAGCAGCTTGTGGGGCGGGCACAGAGAGGGTGGTTGGACCAGCTGGAGCTGCAGAGAAGGGACAGGCGCCCACGGAGCTGCTACAGCTGGACATCAGGATGGACGCAGAAGGTGAGGGCCACCAGGCTCAGGTGTTGATGGAGAAATGATTCTAAACAGCAAGTCAGAGCTGCCCGCACCCTCACACGCTGCCCTCCACCCCCCATTCCCCCACTGCCACCTTGCAGCAGAAGCCCAGGGGGTGGTGCAAGGTCAGCCAGGAAAGGGCCCTGATCCCAGGGGCTCAGCGGAAAGTGCAGTGGACTGTGGCTCAGTGGGCTCAACCCCTGCTAACTGCTCCCTCAAATGGAAGATGCGTTGTTTTAATTTTCTTTGATTTTAACAAAAGGCAATGCATTTGTGTGGCTTGATAATCAAACAGTAAAAAGTTATGCAGTCAGCAGCCTAACTCCCACTGCCACCTCGTCCCCTGCCAGCTCTCACGCCCTCCGGACTCTGTGCCTGTTGCTTTCATGTTCGGGCTCCCAGAATTACTTTTGCAAATGCAAGTAAATGCCTGCGCAACTTCATCACCCTCCTCCCATCTTAAACAAAAGGTTTCATTCAACAAACTATGCTTCACCGTTTGTTTTCCTAATGATACTGCATGGAGCTTGCTTGCTTGCTTCTCTTTCTTTCTTTCTTTCTTTCATTCTTTCTCTTTTGTCTGTCTTTCTTTCATCTTTTTCTTCTTTCCTTCTCTTTCTCTCTTCCTTCCTTTCCCCTTCCCTCCCTTCCTCCCTCCCTCCCTTCCTTCCTTCTTCCCTTCCTACCCTCTCTTTCTTTCTTTCTTTATTTTCTTCTTTCTCCCTGAGACAGGGTCTCACTCTGTCACCCAGGCTGGAGGGCAGTGGTGCAGTCCTGGCTTACTGCAGCCTCAACGTCCTGGGCTCAAGCAATCCACCCACCTCAGCCTCCCAAAATGCTAGGATAACAGGCATGAGCCGCCGTGCCTGGCTGGAGTTCTTTCAGGATGAGATTTAAACCATATCTAACATTGACTTCCAGTATGTGTATCGTATGTGTATCTTCAGGGGCGCAGCCTCAGCACCTCTGGATGGAGGGTACCTCGGCCAAGGCTCTTTCCCTAGGGTTCTGTGTGATTGAGGGTCCTGTCTTTGAAGCTGTTGGGAGGAGCGGGGGCACACCCTGACCTCCCCCCCGTGCCCCACCCCCCAGTGCTGCGTTTGGAGCAGAGCACTCTCGGAGTGCCATGGTCCCCATGTTCAGTCACCTGCTGGGTGCCAGGCTCTGCATAACCCCATTACCTCTACATCAAGTCCTGCCAGGGCAGAAATATTATCTCCATTTTCCAGATGAGGAGATGGAGACCCAAGAGCTGCAGAGCTGTCTCAGATGGGACAGTGAGTGAGTGACAGAGCCAGGGTCAAATCAGCATGTTGTCAAAGTCTATGCTGTCCTCATGCCTCACTGCCTTCTCATCCATCCCTGAATCCATCCATTCAACCTGTTCATTCCCTCATCTATCCACCCACCCACTCCCTGACCTATCCAGCCACACACTCACCCTTCTAGCCACCCATCCATCCACTCACCCTTCTAGCCATCCATTCATCCACTCACCCTTCTAGCCACCCATCCATCCACCCACCCTTCTAGCCACCCATCCATCCAGCCACCCATCCATCCATCCATCCACTCACCCACCCATCCAGCCACCCATCCATCCACCCACTTATCCATCCATCCACCCACCCATCCAGCAACCCATCCATCCACCCACCCATCCATCCATCCACCCATCTATCCATCCATCCACCCACCCACACATCCAGCCACCCAACCACCCACCCATCCATCTATCCACTTATCCATCCATCCAGCCAGCCAGCCACCCACCCACCCATCCAGCGACCCATCCATCCACCTATCCATCCATCCACCTGCCCACCCACCCAGCCACCCACTTATCCATCCATCCATCCATCTACTCAGCCACCCATCCAGCGACCCACCCATCCACCCTTCCACCCATCCATCCACCCACACATCCAGTCACCCACTTATCTATCCATCCATCCACCCACCCATCCATCCACCCACCCATTTATCCATCCATCCACTCACCCACCCATCCAGCCACTCACCCATCCAGCCACTCACCCATCCAGCCACCCACCCATCCAGCCACCCATTCACCCACCCATCCACTCATCCACCCACCCATCCAGCCACCCACCCAACCAGCCAGCCACTCACCCATCCAGCCATCCACCCACCCATCCAGCCACCCATTCACCCACCCATCCACTCATCCACCCACCCATCCAGCCACCCACCCAACCAGCCAGCCACTCACCCATCCAGCCATCTATTCATCCACTCACCCATCCATCCATCCACCCATTCAACCTTCCAGCTGCCCATTTATCTACCAACCCACCCTCCTAGCCAGCCAGCGACTCACCCATCTAGCAACTCATCCATCCACCCACCCACTCAGCCAGCCACCCATCCATCTGGCCACCCACCCATCCACCCACCCATTCATCCACCCACACACCTATCCAGCCACCCATCCATCCACCTACCAAGCCAGCCATCCACTCACCCACCCACCCACCCAGCCAGCCGCTCATTCATCATCCATCCACCCATCCATCCACTCACCCACCCATTTATCTATCCATCCAGCCAGCCACCCATCCACCCACCCACTTACCCACTCAACCAACTACTCACCCATCCAGCCACCCATCCATCCACCCACCCACCCATCCGTCCACCCATCCACTCACCCACCCAGCCAACCACCCACCCAGCCACCCATCCATCCACCCACCCACTCACCCACCCATCCATCCACCCGCCCACCCATCCACTCACCCATCCATCCAGCTACCCAGCCATCTACCCACCCATCCATCCACCCACCCATTCTTCCATCCACCCAGCCACTCAACCACCCATCCAGCCACCAACCCACCCACCCATCTACTCGCTCACCCATTTATCCACCCATTTATCCAACCATCCATCCACCCACCCATTCATCCATTTATCAACCCATCCATTCATCTACCCACCCACCCATTTATTCATTCATTCATTCATCCATCCATCATCCATGCAATCCATGCATTCATTATCCACCCATTCATCACCATCCCACTCACCCACCCATTCACCTCTCTGTTCATCCATCTATTAAAGGTTTACTAGGAGCCAAGCCTTGCACACTTGCTGATGTTATAAACTTCTGGCAGCCAGAGTGACCTCCCCAGAATGTACATTTGACCCCTATCTTCTGTTTGCAAGCCTTCATCAGCTTCTACTACCTGCCTGCAGGGAAAGCTCCTGACACATTCCCTGCTTGTTCTACCTCGCACACACTGCCCCAGCCCCCCGCAGCCCTGCCCTCACTCGTGGGAGTTCTCGGATGATGTGCCTCACACTGGAGCGACTCCTCTTCACCCCTCACCATCACGACACGCATGCTGTGTCCGCCAGTCCAGCATCCATTTTCCTTTTCCTGGTGTCAGCACCTCAAATTTCCCTCAGGACTGCCTCTCCCACTCTCCGTCCACAGGTGTCCAAGGGCACCAGGAGTGGGCAACGCGAAGTGGTTGAGTGAGAGCCACAGTCTTGCTGGACCCCTCGGAAAATCTTTATAGCAAGACTGCTGGGTGGGGCGGCCTGAGGACGAAGCGGCACAGGAGAGCAGGGGTAAGAGATGGGCCAGGCAGCTTCGAGATTTTACCACTTCAACACCTGGAGCCTTTGCCGACCCCAAACAGGCGGGCTGCCCGCGGCCAGAGACACCTGTGCCGATGGCAGAGCGATCCCCAGTCACAGGTGCTTCTTGGGTAAAGCTGACATAGGAAACACATACTTTTGTGTCACTGTCAAAAGCATTTGAAGAGGCAAAATAAACACAGAACCGCACAATTAAAAAGGGAGTGCGGGTGAAGGAAAGTCAGCAGGAACGGCAGGGGATGAGATGTGGTGGTGGCCAGCCCTGGCTCTCTGCGGTCAACGTGCAGCCTTGCAGATGGTGGGGAAGTGCAGAAGGTAGTGAGTAGTGAAGCTGCCTGGGCTTCTGGGTTGGGTTGGGGACTTGGAGAACTTTTCTGTCTAGCTAAAGGATTGTAAATGCACTAATCAGCTCTCTGTGTCTAGCTAAAGGTTTGTAAATGCACCAATTAGCACTCTGTAAAATGGACCAATCAGCACTCTGTAAAATGGACCAATCAGTAGGATGTGGGTGGGTCCAAATAAGGGAATAAAAGCTGGCCACCAGCCTAGTCAGTGGCAACCTGTGCTGGTACGAGTCTGTACCTGGGCAGCATTGTTCTTTTGCTCTTTGCAATAAATCTTGCTGGTGCTCACTGTTTGAGTCTGCACTACCTTTATGAGCTGTATCACTCACCGTGAAGGTCTGCAGCTTCACTCCTGAAGCCAACGAGACCACGAATCCACCAGGAAGAATGAGCATCACCTTTAAGAGATGTAACACTCACTGTGAAGGTCTGTGGCTTCGCTCCTGAAGTCAGTGAGACTGCTAACCCACCGGAAAGAAAAAAAAACTCCAGACACGTCTAAACCTCTGAAGGAACAAACTCCGGACACCATCTTTAAGAACTGTAACACTTACTGCAAGGGTCCGCGGCTTCATTCTTGAAGTCAGCGAGACCAAGAACCCGGTGGAAGGAACCAATTCTGAACACAAGGGAACCAGGGGACAGAGGGAGACAGCCTCTCTGCCAGGGCCTGGCTGCATCTGCTGGGCAGAGGGCAAAAGAAAGTTGTGTTGTTTTGTTTTGAGATGGAGTCTGTGTTGCCCAGGCTGGAGTGCAGTGGCACCATTTCAGCTCACTGCAATCTCTGCTTCCCGGGTTCAAGTGATTCTCCCACCTCCGCCTCCCAAGTAGCTAGGATTACAGGTGCCCGCCACCAAGACTAGCTAATTTTTGTATTTTTAGTAGGGATGGGGTTTCACCATGTTGGTCAGGCTGGTCTTGAACTCCTGACCTCAGATGATCCACCCACCTCTGCCTCCCGAAGTGCTGGGATTACAGGCATGAGCCACTGCACCTGATCAGAAAGTTTTAATTATGGAACACTCCTAACGTACACGGAGGCAGAGAGAGTCAGCCGCCCCTCACCACCTTCTAACACACTCACATTTGGCCGTGTTTACTTCACCTATTATCTTGGTGGAGGGACTCGCGTTGGCTTATAGACATCACGCCATTAGACCCCTGGGGAACTCAGCAGAGCAGATGTCTCTAAGGAATAAGGCCTGTTTCCTATGGAGCCCAATACAGTAGGCCCCAAACAAGCACAATTCCCTCGCATCAGCCAATCCCCAGGCCACATCCACTTTTTCCCATCGTCTCAGAAATGCAGACTCCTGGCTGCTTCAAACATCCAGCCGAGGTGTGTGTTGCATTCAGCGTTTGTGGCGGTGCTGGCTCGACATGGATTCAGTGTGTATGGGGATGCTGGCTTGGTGTGCATTGAGTGTTTGTGGGGATACTGGCTTGGCATGCATTCAACCTTTGTGGGGATGCTGGCTCAGTGTGCATTCAGCCTTTGTGGGGATGCTGGCTCAGTGTGCATTCAGCCTTTGTGGGGATGCTGGCTCAATATACATACATTCAGCATTTGTGGGGATGCTGACTCAGTGTCCTTTACTCAGAGAAGTACAAAGAGAAAAGAAAGTAGACCAGCACCTCACTCTTTATAAAACTTCTGCTTATATCTTTAGAAAGTAATCAAGGGTAGGTGGGTGAGACCAGGAGATTCAACCTGGAGAGGCATGAAGAGAAACCGGCAGCACCTGCCCAGCCTCTGGCCAGGTTGGCCCTGCCAAGGTTTTGCTGTTCATTCCTCCTTTCAGAAACAGGTATGCGCGCATCTCTGTATTCATTTTGTTTTCCTTTTGCACCAAGCAGCATTTCCCTTTGTCTGTGGCTCGTTTTCCTCACCAACTGAAAATGGCAGAGGGTTTCGTCCCTGAGTTCCGGCTGCTTGTGCCTCCATCTAGAGCTTCAACAACAAAACGCCAGGTCCAACCAGCAGCTTGAAAATTTACCTCCAATAACAAAGTTACTAATTTACAAAGTGACTTTGGATGTAAACGTGCTGAAAACTTACAACTACTAATGGTGTGTGTGTGTTCACCCTCCTCAAATCCCATGCTTCCCCTCCCACCCATGTCCTCGCTGTGGCCGCAAAGGTCCGGAATCCTCTCGCCTTCTGCTGTGACTTGGGCGGCTCATGTCTACATCCCACAGACAGGCCCTGCCGTGCACAGCTGAAACTTGAACACTGAGGGTTGCCGAACCTGCCACGGAGATGCGTTACTTTGTTCATTCTCTTCCTGTTTTTCTAATTCTGTAGCAACCAGGAACACAAATGAATCTGATCTACATTAGTAAAGATACCCGTGTGAAGGTTTGGAAGTTGAAAATATTAAATACCAGCAGAATTTAAGAATTAAGAGCAAAGAAGGAAACGCCTTGGGCTTGGCATCACATGAATACCCTACCCGGGCAGAGCAAATGTAAAGAGATCTTTAAAACACACACTGGGAGGCAGGATGAAATTCAAAACACGGCAGAGCTTATTGGGGAAGGAAATTCTGCCACCAACTTAAGGATTATGTTAAAAGGATGCTCACACACTGAGTTAACACCTGGGCTCTCATGTGGTGGACCCCTGGCGGGCCCCTGCTGGGATCCTGGGGCTTTGCTGAAGATTCTTATTTGCAAAGTGAAGCCACCTTTGAGCACCTGCTGTGTACCCAGCTCTGCCTTGGGTGTGAGGGAACAACCGGGCTGTGGCCCCGCTGCTGTTAGGGAGCTCCAGACAGGGTCGAGGCCACCTACAAGCAAACGACTCTGCTCAGCCTGGAGGCACAGGGCGCACGGCGCTCCCCGGAACTGAGTGAGGAGTCCTGGGGCAGGGGAGGACTTGGAGGCCACTAGGTCAGATGTCCCTATCATAGCCGGCACAGGGATTACCCTGGAGCTCACGGGAAGCTGGGGCCAAACCCGGACGGGGCAGGTTGAAGCCACATCAAGAAGAGGGCTGTGGAGGGAGCACCCAGAACCACACCCCGAGCCAAGGCCAGGATCACCCCCGAGCCAAGGCCAGCATCTGAGGCAGCCCACACCAGGGCTGTCTCAGATGCTGCCACAGCCACCCCGAGGACCCTGGATCTTTACAGAGAGGCCACAGGTGGAGATCAGCCAGGCTTTCTCCACCCTGAGAGCTCAACACAGCTGCCTACCTATACTGCTATGAGCCTCCTTAAGGAACCTGTGCTGCTATGAGCCTCAAGTCCTTTGAGAAACAAGACAGTGACGGGGAAATAAAAATGTAAGTGGTGGCGTTTGTGTGTGTGGAGTCAGCACACTGTGGCATCCCCGCATAGCTCAGCCTCCATCTGGCTGTGCGGCTCTGGCCAGGTCACATGACCTCTCGGTGCCTCGGCGTCCTTATGTGAGGGTGGTGGCCACAGTCCTGATGTGCCAGGCTGAGCCGTGATGAGCTACAACGCTGCCTGGCACCATGAGCTGTTCTTCTCAAAGGACTGGTTTTTAAAAATCAAGGTCCCCTGACACTCCCCATCCTGGACTCAGCCCTTCTCTGCTCACCCTCACCCCAGCTTCATCTCAGACCTGCTGGGATCGGATTTGGGATTGCGTGGAAAATGTAATTGAATCTGGGCAGAACTTGACATCATAACCGTAATGAATGTTTTTATCCGTGAAGGCTGTCTCTCCATTTATTCAGCTCTTTAATTTCTTTCAGCGACATTTTATAGATAATGTCGTTTGCTAAATTCAGTCATAAGTATTTTATGGTTTTGATGGTATTATAAACTGAATAATTTAAATTTTTATTTTCAGATTATTTGCTGCTAGTATATAGATACAGAACTGATTTTTGTTTACTGATCTTATGTTCTGAGACCCTGTGAATCTCACATTCGTTCCAGTAGTTCTGAAGACTCCTTAAAATTTTCCTTGTAAATAATTGCATCATCTGTGATTAGAGATAATTTTACTTTCTCCCCACCAATCTTTCTTCTTTTTTCTCCCTTCCTTTGTTGTCCGGCTACAACCTGGGGTAAGAGGTGTTGTGGAGATGGAGTACACTTCCTTGCCTTCTCCCTGGTCTTAGGGGAGAAGTGCCTGGCATCTTACCATTGTGTATGATGTGGGTGTAGGTTTTACATGATGCCTTAGATTTCCAAGAGCTTCTATCTTACATGGATTTTGAATTTCGTTAGAAGCTCTTTCTGCTCCTATTGATGTTTCATATGGTTACTCCTTTATTCCATCAATATGGTGAGTTACATTGGTTTGGTTTTCAGACACCAAACTCATCTTGCATTCCTGGAAAAACCCTACTTTGTCATGATGTATTATCTTTTTTTATAAGTTTGTGGGTTCAGTTTGCTAGTAATTTGTTTACAGTTTTTTGGATCTATCTTTATGAGGGATGCTGATCTGTAATTTTCATATCTTATAATGTCTTTGCCAGGTTTTGACATCAGAGTTAAGCTGGCCTCATAAAAAAGCTAGGAATGGTTCTCTTCTGTTTCCTTCTCCCAAGTTTTGAAATGTTTTATTAAATATTTGCATTATGTTGTTTCATCGACTATTTGATAAAATTCATCATTGAAATCATCTAGCTCTGGAGTTGTCTTTCTGGAAAAGTTTTCAATAACAAGTTCATTTATTGAATAGATATGGGAATATTCAAGTTTTCTATTCCACTTTGTGTCAATTTTGGTAAGTTTTATTTTCAGAAAAATTTATTACATAAGCTCTCAAATTTATCAGCAGAAAATCATTTGTTATGTTATGATATTTCCTGTTAACATCTGTAGGGTCTGTAATGATGTCATCTCTTTTCTCCTGGCATTGATAATTGATTATTGCAGTTTTCCTTTGATCAGTCTTGTCAGAGTTTTATCAGTTTTATTAACCTTTTCAAAAAACAACTTTTGTCTTTATTGACTTCTCTATTTGTTTTATAATTCATTAGTATCTCATCTTTATAATTTTTTTCCTTCTAGTCCCCTCTTATTTTGGATTTAATTTGCTCACCTTTTTAAAACTTCTTAAAGTGGAATCTTAGATCGTTTCTTTGAAAATCTTTTTTCTAATGTGAGCACTTACAGCTATTATCTCCCCTCTAAACTTATTTTTAGCTCATCTTGAGAGGAGAAGCAGCTGGACTTCCTGGGTCGAGTAGGGACTTGGAGAACTTTTCTGTCTAGCTAGAGGATTGTAAACAAACACCAAATCAGTGCTCTGTGTCTAGCTAAAGGACTGTAAGTGCACCAATCAGCACTCTATAAAAATGCACCAATCAGCACTCTGTATCTAGCTAAAGGGTTGTAAATGCACCAATCAGCACTCTGTAAAAACACACCTGTCAGCCTTGTGTCTAGCTAAAGGACTGTAAATGCACCAATCAGCACTCTGTAAAAATGCACCAATCAGCACTGTGGGTCTAGCTAAAGGATTGTAAATGCACCAATCAACACTCTGTAAAATGGACCAATCAGCGCTCTGTAAAATGGACCAATCAGCGCTCTATAACATGGACCAATTAGCAGGATGTGGGCAGGGACAAACAAGGGAATAAAAGCTGGCCACCCCAGCCAGCAGCAACAACTCATTCGGGTCCCCTTCCACACTGTGGAAGCTTTGTTCTTTCACTCTTCACAATAAGTCTTGGTGCTGCTCACTCATTGGGTCCGCACCACCTTTAAGAGCTGTAACACTCACTGCAGAGGTCCGCAGCTTCATTATTGAAGTCAGCGAGACCATGAAGCCACCGGAAGGAAGAAACTCCAGACACATCTGAAGGAACAAATTCTGAACAAACCATCTTTAAGAGCGGTAACACTCACCGCAAAGGTCCGCAGCTTCATTCTTGAAGTCAGTGAGACAAAGACCCCACTGGAAGGAACCAACTCCAGACACAATCTTACAGATTTTTATATGTTTTGTGCTCACTATCATTTGTTTGAAATATTTTCAAATTTCTCCTGTGGTTCTTTTGACCCATAGGTTATTTAGATGTTTTCTTTAATTTGCAAATATTTGTGTTTTTCCCCAGATGTATGATTATTATTGATTTCTCTTTTAACTCCATTGTGATCAGAGAATGTCATCTCTGTGATTTCAATTATTGGAAACATTTGAGATTTATCTTATGACCCATTGTATGGTCTGTGGTGCTTTCCAGTTCCAGAATTTCCTTTTGGTTTGGGAAACCTGCCTGAGACAGGTCCCAATCAACTAGAGGTTTATTTAGCAAGGTTGAGGACATGCCCAGGAAAAAGAAACACGAGTCCCTCTGGGGTCTGTGTCCTGCGATGTTTATGAAGAGAGTTTGGGGAATTTCAGTATTGAAAGGGAAAGAGCAGACAGGACAGAAAGAAAAAAAGAGGGGGGTGGGTAGTGAGGCACATGGCTGTGTTCTGTGAGACTCTGATCAGTGCCCAGTGAGTCTGAGTTTTATGTGAGATAAAGAGAGCACAGGAAATCACCGCTGTCTCTCTGGGAACTAAAGGACAGTGGTTTCCATGAGAATCCACTCCCAAGCTTTACTTTCCCTTGAGCACCATGAGCTTCAGGTCCTGAGATTTTATTTTCCTCTCATGGGTTCTTTTAAAAGATGACTGCCATCTCTCTATTGAGATTCTCTGTTCATTCATTGTGACTATATTTTCCTTTAATTCCCTGAACATATTAAAGAGTCTGTCTTCTAATTTTATCATCTTTCATTATCTTGAGGCACACTTCTGTTGACTGCTGTTTCTTTCAGATGTAGGTCACATTTTCCTGTTTCTTTTCATGTTTGGATGCTTTTTTGTCAGCCACAGTATATGACTGTTGTTGTCAATACGACACAGAGACTCTGGCTTACATTTTCTGTGCTGGAAGATGTCACTCTCGCCCTTGCAGGCCACGTGCCTGTGCACTGTGACCACGTCCCACCTTCCCTTGTGGCAGTAGCTGCTGCCTCTCTGCAGGGACCCTCAACATCTCCCCCAGGGTGCTCAGTCCAGGACAGGATTGAGATGCAATTTACACACAATGCTGAGGGCCCTGTCATCTGTGGCTCCCTCCTTTTGGGGTTCCACCCTCCCTCCTTTTGGGGTTCTAACCTTCCTTCTCTGGCCTCCTATGTGTCCAGCCAGAGAGACTGCAGTGCTCTGCTGACAACACCCCCAGCTAGGTGACCAGGGCACACCCTCAGGTGTGAGCTGTGCGTGAAGCTCACCCATTGCAGTTCCTGCTTTCAAAGGCTACCACACTGAGTCTCTGCCATCTCTGTTTGCTCTCCATTCACTTCCAGTAGTGTTTTATAGTTTTTCCAGAGCTTATAATTATTGTTCACAGGAGGGTTGTTCTGATACAAGCCATCTTGCTGTTTCTAGGGGAAAACTCCCCATGCTGTTTTCCTGTGGCCCAAGTGTTCTTCATAAAATAACCAATGGCTGTTTATGTTTGCTGATCGCCTTGCTGGGTTTTCTCTGCATGTCTTTGCTCCTTTTGTTCCATGCCTTCCTCCTGGGGTCTCTTTCCTTGGTGAAGGGCATGTCTCGTACTTATTTCAGGGATGGTCTGTGAGTTTTGTGTCTCCTTTTTGGTCTGTATGTGTCCCAAGTGCCTTTATTTTACTGCACGCTGGAATGACGCTTTCACTGACAGTCCGGTGTTGGCGTCACCTGCCCTCCGCACTGACCGTCCGGTGTTGGCGTCACCTGCCCTCCGCACTGACCGTCCGGTGTTGGCGTCACCTGCCCTCTGCACTGACAGTCCGGTGTTGGTGTCACCTGCCCTTCACACGTGGAGGCTGCTGTTGCATTGCTTCCTGACCTCTGTTGCTGTGGGTGAGAAGTTGGCTGTCAGTCTGATCACCACGCAGACCCCAGGGTCTCCTTTTTTCAATGTTATTAGGCAAAAGCCAGGCCTCTTAAGGGGATACCCTACCTGTTCCTAAGACCAAAAATACACTATTTAGAATGCAGTTGGCCTAATATTTCTGGTTACTATTTTCCAGTCTAATCGGAATAACTGCTCATCTTGAAGGGATAAATAAAGGCCACTTAAGGCTGAATTAGTATCTTACTCCTTTTAGGTGAAACAACATTATGGGAAGGGGAAATTTTTTTTACGTGGCTGAGGAGAATAAATGCATCTTGGAGGAATGGAAGTCATCAATAGATTGTACAAAATCTACTCCTAAGTACACACCCATCAGCAATGAGTTCAAATTGGCTGGGGGCTGGGGAGGTGGGAGGAGGTGAATGCTGAGGCAGGGGGTGGGGGGCATGAAATGTTCTAAAATGCACTGTGGTGACAGATGCACACACCAGGAATATACTAGGAGCAAAACAAAAGAAAGAAAAAGAAGTCCTTGACGAGGAACAGGGGTCACCTTTATAGACCCTCCATAAAGCCCCGCGTGGGGGAGCTCTCTTGGAGGACGGTGCCCTCTGATGAAAGTGGAGCCCGGACTCATGAAGGATCTCAGCACTCAGGGTCAAACACCGCCGGGCTGCATGTGGCTCCACGCCAGCCCCCTCTGCTCCCTTCCCACCTGGGTAGACCCCGGGAGGTGGGGAGGGGCCTCTGGCCTCTCAGATCCTGGCCAGGATCTGGGCGTTTCAATAGCATCGTAAACACCATCTCACCAGCAGCAGCAGGGGCCCCGCCTGTCGCTGGACGATTTCCATGCCAGGCGCCAGGATTAGAAGCTGCAGGAGAAACTAGGGAGGCTCCTGCTCTGGAGGATGCACAGGGTCCGGGAGGGAGAACGGCCCCCCAGCCGCTGGCCGGCTCTGCAGCTCAGGGTCCTGCTGGGCACCCAGGCCCGGCTCTCCCTGGGGCTCTCAGGCCCAGCTTTAAAAAGTCACGTTGCACTTGTTTGTTGTTGTTGTTGTTGTTGTTTTGGGTTTTTTGTTTGTTCGTTTTTTAACGTGTAACAACGCACGCATGTAATAGAAAGGAGACATGAATGGGTCTCCTGGCCACACAGCTCCCTCCCAGAACAGTCGGCCCTGGGGTCGCCACGGGCCCTTCCAGAGCTGTCAGGAGTACACACGATTTCTCTTTGTTTTATACAAACAGAACAAACCCTGTCTCCCACCATGTCTTCTCAACTAACTTGAAATGATGCCTTGGTCATATCCCAAAGTCTTGGTGTTTTGGGGTCTTCCTCTAGACATTCATTCCCCTCTGCAGCCTGAACCAAGGAGGCACTTGTTTCCGTAACGGGCCTGAATGTGACAAGGCGGACCCCCACAGCTGCTTCTCTTCCGGGGCACCCTGCCTATGATCTGTTTAGCCAGAAACTCCTTTGTTTTGCCTATTTAAACATCAAAAAGAGTTGGTATAGTTTAAAAATATTCTTTTGGACCATTTATTGGGACCTTAAATCCACAGAATGAGTCAGCTGTAACTTGATCTTTCTGAAGAAAGTCTTTCTGTCCAGGTATTCTATACCCTTAGATTTGGTCACTTATTTCTGGCCCTCTCAGTCGCATTTTAAAGTTTCCTTCATGTAGATTTGAAGTCTTTAGTCATCCTAGCGATTCCTCACTAGCGTTACGGTGTCAGGGAAGACTAGCCGTGCCGGAGAGGATGGCTCACGCCCGTTCACCCTTCTACCATCTCTGCTGTTGGCATCGTACAAACGTCACATGACAACCCAGCACTGTCACTGAAGTTCCTTTAGCCCAGGGGTGTCCAATCTTTTGGCTTCCCTTGGCCACATTGGAAGAAGAAGAATTGTCTTGGGCCACACATAAAACACACTAACACGATAGCTGATGAGCTAAAAGAAAAAAAAAATCACAAAAAAAATCTCATTATGTTTTAAGGAAAGTTTACAAATGTGTCTTGGGCCGCATTCAAAGCCATCCTGGGCCACATGTGGCCCACAGGTCAAGAGGAGGACAAGCTCGCTTCAGCAAGTCAGTAATTGCCAGTGCTGAATTTGCCGCATAAGGACTCGGCCCTTCCCTGTTCCCAGCCCAAGGTCGTTCTCCTTCAGCTGAACATTTTCCTTTATGATTTCCACACTCGAATTCTGCTGGCAACAAATGCTTTTTATCGTCTGACAATATCTGTATTTACCCTTCATGTTTGAAGGACGTTTTTGTTCTGTATAAAATTCTGGGTTTGTGGATTTGGGTTTTGTTTATTGGTGGTGTCTGGTTTCGTCAGCTTGCAGAAGCCGCCTTTTCGTTTTCAGACCCCATTGTCTCCGGGCCAGTGATCAGCCACACCCTTCCCCTGGGGGCTCCTCACTTCTGGTGGCTTAATTCAATCGGGTGTCTATGTATCCTCAGCTTTCTGGCGGGTTTTTTTTTTTATTGTGAATTTATAGCTTATGTGGCTTGTTTAGGTTGTTGGTGAAAATAGGCTCTTGAGACTTTCTATATTGTAGCTGGAAGCAGAAGTTGTGTGTATTTTTTAATATAAACTTTTAATTTATTTAAGTAATGTATTATTTGAATTTTTTCTTTTACAGAAAGGTGTCAAGAGTAGCACGGGAATATCTCTCTGACCATCTAGGGGTCTGTTGCTGACTCGGTGCCTCCTTGTCCTGCGTACTCCCAGGTCAGGACATCGGCTTGACTGGTGGCCACCTGCTGACCTCAGAGCCCTCGGAGCGAATCCAGCTGTCCAATTGAAACCAAGCATGGTCCTCTGCGGCTTGGCCTCTTTTTCTCCCGAGATGGTTGCGGGGCACTTATTGGGTGAAGACCCTCATTCATTCTGGGGTGTGTCAGGAGTTTCTTCGAGACAGGACCAAGCTATGAGCCTGTGGCAGGAGCATCCGAGGCACAGCTCAGCCTCTCCCGTGCTGCACACCCCTGTGTGCAGGTGCCCTTGCCCGCAGCCGCGGCTCCAGGTCCGCGTGGAGTCAGCTGCTGCTGTCAAGCATTTTCACAGTACAGTTACTGGTCTACTCCAGCACAGTCACGAGGCACCTTGAGAGGCTGCAAAAGACCCCTAAAGTCTTCCGCATCTTTATCATGTAAGGATGGGCTTGTGGGTTCCAGCTTTATTCCAGGGTCTATGATTTGGGACTGTCATTGACACCCATATGTTTGTCTTTTGCAGTCCTCAAGGGATGGGTTCCAGGACCCCCGAGTTTAACCCACCTGCAGGAGCTCAAGTTCCTGATGTAAAATGATGTCGGATTTGCAAGTAACCTGCACACATCCTCCCGGTACTTTAAATCATCCCTGGATTATTCATTGTACCGAATACAATGGAAATGCTATGTAAATAGTTGTTACACTGTGTTGTTATTTTTATTTGTATTTTTTCTATATTGTTATTTTTTATTCTTTTCCAAGTATCTTTGATCCTCGGTTGAATCTGTGGTGCGGAACCTGAAGACGTGGAGGCAGGCCGTATTTATTTCTATACACTCCTATTCGTTTTGCAAATCCTAAATTCACACAGATGCCTCCAAACCGAATCCAAGTCAGAGTTTGTGACAGTTTTCTCTTTTCAAAATCTGAAACTCTGACAGTAAGACCAGCTCCCAAGGCCTCTGACACATTTGCATCGTGGATCAATCCCCTTAGGTGACCATCCCCTTAGGTGACCATCCCCTGCTGGAGATGCCCTTCCCTTCTGGCCTGGGCTCGGCTCCCCTGCTGTGTGGACAGCCCTTGCCGGCAAGGGCTCTGATTCCCCGCAAGGCCACACCAGGCCCCGGCCTCCTGCCCCAGGCTGGGGCTGACTATGCAGGACACCCCACCCCCACCAGCCTTGGGGTCTCCGATGCTAAGGTAGGGGCTTTGCACCTGCAGTGGGCAAGGCCACCTGGGCACAGGTGTGCGGGAGGAAGAGCCTCTCAGGAGCCAGTGGAGGTGAGGCTCAGGAGCCAGAGGAGACGTGGGAACAGCAGGAGGGTCCGGGGCAAAGGACCCAGTGCTGCCTTGAAGCCAGAGGGGGCTTTGTGGAGCACACGCCTGGGTGCAGACCCCACGGGGGCCGCACTGCTAATCTGCAGGTGAGCACACGCCTGGGTGCAGAGCACACGCCTGGGTGCAGACCCCACGGGGGCCGCACTGCTAATCTGCAGGTGAGCACACGCCTGGGTGCAGACCCCACGGGGGCCGCACTGCTGATCTGCAGATGAGCACACACCCGGGAGCAGACCCCACGGGGGCCGCACTGCTGATCTGCAGGTGAGCACATGCCCGGGAGCAGACCCCACGGGGGCCACACTGCTGATCTGCAGGTGAGCACACGCCTGGGTGCGGACCCCACGGGGGCCGCACTGCTGATCTGCAGGTGACCTTATTGGGTGTAATCCCATGGCTCCCCCATCCACACAGAATTCCAAACAAGGACGAAACACCTGATAAGAAACCAATTAAACCCTGTTTCTTCATCAGCTTTTATTTTACATGATAGGTAGAACCTAATCTCATAGAGGGGATGGGCGGGCCGCTTCTGTTCCCAGACCAGGAAAATGGGCAAGGGCTTTGAACTCCCGCTGGGGAGGTCCAGCTCCCAGGAAGGCCCTCTAGCCACACGGAATGCTTATCTGCTGACGGCCTGGAGGCCACAGGCTGCCCAGGACAAGGCTGGGCTGTGGTCAGCAGAGGGAAGGTGCTGGGGTGAGGCAGGAAGAACTGGCACAGCTCTAGGGCTCACCGGGGACCAACGAGGTGGCTCCCTGCAGATACCAGGTCCACGAAGTCGAGAAGAGCCCGGCGGATACACAGCGCCTTGTCGGCGGCACGTGCCCCCAGCATGCAGCCCCAGGGGTCTGGACTCTGTGCCTTCACGTTGCTGGCCTTGCTGGTGGGCACAGCCCATCCCTGCACACTCGTTGGCCGGGGCCCAGGGCCAGAGCCCCCCGTTGCCCGGAACAGCAGCGGGTTTCCAGTGGTCAGCCTGCGGTGGCTACCCGTGCACACCCCCTTCTTTGTGGCCATGTGGATCCTGGTGGCCCTGTCCTCTCTGCTGGGTAAGTGCCTGTGTCGGCTCAGGGTTTCCATGCCTGTTCGGCCTCTAGAAGGGGCGGCTCGGTCAGCAGGGCTTTTCTGGTTTGGTTTCACGGTTCCTTGTGTGTTTTAAATCTTCTTCGAGTAAGCGCTGGTCCTCTTGCGGCAAATGGATCACCGAGGCCATCGCTGGGCCTCCCTCCCCGATGCCCCTGAGAGACCAGACACCCTCAGCTCTCATTCCACACGGCCGGCCAGCGGGGTCTGGAGGAGGGAGGCTATGCCTCAAAACCTGTTGAGCCTTTGAAGGGACTTTGTGGTGAAATGGCCACCTAAGCCCACGCCGTCCAGGCTGCACTGCGCAGGCCCGAGGGAGCCCGTCGGCTGCCATCAGAGAGGGCCCCGGGGCCTGGCCCCACCTGGGTGTGCACAGATGGCCACCAGAGGTTGTGATCCCATGTGGGGGGTGGGTCAGCCGTTGCCTTGCAGCTCTTGGTACATTTGTTTCCATTTTTATTTTGAGTTTGCGGAGATTAATGTCAACCACTCACCATTCTCTAGTCCTAAGAAAGCCGCCCAGTAACTGCAGAGAAAATCATTCATCTCTTGGGGCAAATCAGATTTGGGGCTCAGTATCAACCTTAACAAAGAACTGACCACCCAGCAAGGGCTGCGACTACGATGAAGATAAACAAAGAGGGCATGACAGTTAGAGCTGATTCTGAGGACCTCCTCTTTACAAAAAGAATTCGCCCAGCTGGGATGTCCCTGTGGCACCGGTGTCTGCACTCAGGACTGGTCAGCCTGGGGCCAGGGTGGGAGGAGGAAGGGGTCTGGGGGCTGAGGACCTGGCTCCAGCCCCACCTGGACACTGGGCACCACGTGGCCCTTTCTAAATGTTAGGACCGCTGACCCTCAGGCAGCGGTGGGTCGACTGGGAATGCGGGTCAGTGGGAGGGGCGGGTATGGAAATGGAGGTGGGTGCTTTGCCATTGCAAAGACACCCACAGGTGAGCCTGTGCCATGCCTGAGAGGCCCCAACAGACCAAGGGTCTGTTTGCAAAAGGGCTGCTGACATGATGGAGAGGAGAAACGGGAGAGCAGCAGGCGCAGGAGGCACCAGGAGGGCCAGGGGCGGTAGGGCCAGCTCACGGTGCTGAGGGGGCAGAAGGCCCCCCCGGGGTGAGGGGGGTGCGGGAGCTGCCGCGATGTGTCTGGGCTGTGAATGTGGGGCAAGGGGCCGGGCAGGTGGAGGACAGGACCCCTGGAGGGGCTCAGAGATCTGAGAAGCCAAGTTCAAGGGGGGCTCTGTGCACATTTTGAAGTTGCCAGTAATCGAGGCACGGGTCGATGTGGAGAGCTGCTTTGAGCCAGGAACTGAAACCCTAGAGAGAGGAGGGGATGCCCTGTCACGGGGATGCGGGGGCAGTGTCGCGATGACCCAGGGTTTAGGAAAGAGGAAGGGAGGGTGGCCTGGAAGTGGTGAAAGAGCTTCGGGATAGGGAAAGGGGGAAAGGCTGTGGCTTCCAGGAGGGCTGCAGCCAGAGACAACAGCTTCAGGGCTGGGTGCAGATAGGAGGCCCCAGGGCTCTGCTGTGAGTGCAGGATGGTGGGGCTTGCCCGAGTACAGCTCTCTCGACCCCGAAAGACAGGCGGAAGACCCAGGGGGAAAAGGCCCCAGGAACCCCTGAACCATTGCTACGGGCGTGGCTGTTCAGACAACAGCAACCGCGGGAGGGGAGCGTAGGGCTCTGCCTGCAGCCACGCTCTCTCCGGGATGTACTCTCCAGGGGTCCAGCAGGGCTGCAGAGGCCTCCTGGCTGCTGGCGGAAGATAGCTGCAGCAACCTCGCTCCCAGGCCCCTCAGAGAGGCAGCCCCTCAGCCACAGGCGAGTGTTGCAGGGGTGCAGGCCCACACGGGCGGCAGCTGGAGGGCAGGTGGGCTGGGCAGGCACTGGTGCTGTCTCCTGGCTTCCCTGAGCCATGGAGCCATGTCCTGCCTCCTGCTAGCGGCCGTGGGGGCCATGGGTTCCTGTTTATGGCCTGTTGTGTGTGCGAGGGTCACTAGCAGCTGGGGTCGCTGGACGTGTGAGCCTTGGACCTGAGTAGATCCTGCCCAGCTCAAGGGGCATCACCGATTCCCGTCCTCAGTGTGGGAGCCTCCACACCACGCTGCACACTGCTCTTGGTGCCAGCAGGTCTGAATTGTGGGTATTCTATGGTGTCTCGTGGGTTTTACGTTTTAGTTTGCATCTTCCCATCACTAATGAACCCATTCTTGTCTTTACGGATGCTCCTGTGACTTGCCAGCTTGAGTCTTCCGTCCACTGCTCTCTCTCTCTCTTGTTCTGGGCATTCTCTGCATGGCCTGGGTGTTCATTCTCATCTTTACAGATGTTCCTGGGACTTGCCTGCTTGAGTCTTCTGTCCACTGCTCTCTCTCTCTCTCTCTTGTTCTGGGCATTCTCTGCATGGCCTGGGTGTTCATTCTTAGATTTTAAAATGTTTTCCAATATGATGAGTCTGAAGTGGTGGCTCATTAAGTGAGTTTGGCAGTTTATTATGGGGTTTTCCGTTAGACACCAAAACCAGAGAGAATACGATTGTGACCCCGAAGACCCTTCACTTCCCATTGGGATCTCCAGGCCCGTTCTATTTTCCCCATTGTCTCTAGTCTCTCTCCCTCCCTGTTTTGTGCCACTGGCTGTGACGATGATGGGGACGCCTGTCTCATGTCCCCATGGACTGAGGCGCTGCTTTATCGCGTGACGTCACCCACTCTCCCGCCCCTCGGCAGGCTCTTCTCTGTGGTTTCACCCGGGGCTGTTTCCTTCAGCCTAAGAATGCCCTGGTTATGTCTTGTGGTGCAGATCTGCCTTGGTTTCTCCAAAAATGCCTTCACTTTTCCTTCGTGTCTGGGGTGCTTCTGTGAGCACAGGACTGCGGGCTGGCTTTACTTCTTCTTCCTGTCTGGGGTGCTTCTGTGAGCACAGACTCGGGGCTGGCAGCTTTCTCTCCTTTCACCACTGCTGAGATGCCATTCAATCTTCTTTTGGCTCCCATGGTTTCACTGAAAGTCAGCTGTGAAACCTTTGTTGTTTCTTTGAAGATAAGTTCCAAAAATTATTTATAAATGTAATACAATTCCAATCAGAATCCCAATAGGATTTTTAAAAATAGAAATGAACAGGCTGTCCTGAATTTTACAAGGAGGTATAAACGATCAATAATGGCCAGGATGAGTGTGGTGAAGACCACAGCAGATGCCAGGATTTATTATCAACCATTTATTAAGACAGCATTACATTGGCTCAGGAATGGGCAAACAACCTTATATCCTTCTTCAAACAAAAAATATGGGTTGCTTGTCTTTTTCATATTGATTTACAGAGTTTTGTTTTTCTGGATACAATTTTTTGTAAGTTCTATGACTGGCAAATGCCTTCTAGTCAAGATCTTTTTTTCTCTCATTTTTACAGTATGCTTTCTTAAAGAGAAGTGTTGAAAACTGGAAACTATTTCACTGTTAGACCTATCCTTTCAGTTTTTAACTTTTATTGATGGTATTTTTCAGCGATTCCTCCTCCCCTGGAGACTACGTGGGTGATATTTAGTTATTGTCTTAGCAAACTTGTATGCTTTTAGTCAGCGAATTATAAGCTATTGGGTAATCTTTAAAGTATGTGAAATAAAGCCTCATCCTGGGAGGGGTCGCCTTGTTGCCTAAGGGCTCCTGGCCCAGCTCTGCTAGAGTAAGAGCTCAGTGTCTTGTTATCAGGGACAGAGAGGACCCTCCAGTCACACACTGCACCTCGGTGACTCGGGTCACAGAGGTGGCCCAGGGCTGTCCCCTCACCTGTAAAATAGTGCAGGAGCAGCACCTGCTTCACCGGGCATGCTGCAGGCAAGCGGACCTGGCACTCTGGGAGCCAAGCCCTGCACACGGGGCGCCCTCTGTTGTTGTTCTTCTTGTACGGGGCAGGCACACAAGAGTCTCGAGTCCTCCAACCCAGCCCGGGGCTGCTGGGGCCACATGGAAATGCGGCTGCGCCCCTCTGCGGGGGCCTGTGTCGGCGCCGTCCCCTCAGCTGAACCCCCCTGCGGGGGCCTGTGTCGGCGCCGTCCCCTCAGCCGCGCCCCTCTGCGGGGGCCTGTGTCGTCGCCGTCCCCTGAGCTGAACCCCTCTGCGGGGGCCTGTGTCGTCGCCGTCCCCTGAGCTGAACCCCTCTGCGGGGGCCTGTGTCGTCGCCGTCCCCTGAGCTGAACCCCTCTGCGGGGGCCTGTGTCGTCGCCGTCCCCTGAGCTGAACCCCTCTGCGGGGGCCTGTGTCGGCGCCGTCCCGTCAGCCGCGCCCCTCTGCGGGGGCCTGTGTCGTCGCCGTCCCGTCAGCCGAGCCCCTCTGCGGGGAGCCTGTGTCGTCGCCGTCCCCTGAGCTGAACCCCTCTGCGGGGGCCTGTGTCGTCGCCGTCCCGTCAGCCGAGCCCCTCTGCGGGGGCCTGTGTCGTCGCCGTCCCCTGAGCCGCGCCCCTCTGCGGGGAGCCTGTGTCGGCGCCGTCCCCTCAGCTGAACCCCTCTGCGGGGGCCTGTGTCGTCGCCGTCCCGTCAGCCGCGCCCCTCTGCGGGGGCCTGTGTCGTCGCCGTCCCGTCAGCCGAGCCCCTCTGCGGGGAGCCTGTGTCGTCGCCGTCCCCTGAGCTGAACCCCTCTGCGGGGGCCTGTGTCGTCGCCGTCCCGTCAGCCGAGCCCCTCTGCGGGGGCCTGTGTCGTCGCCGTCCCCTGAGCCGCGCCCCTCTGCGGGGAGCCTGTGTCGGCGCCGTCCCGTCAGCTGAACCCCTCTGCGGGGGCCTGTGTCGGCGCCGTCCCGTCAGCTGAACCCCTCTGCGGGGGCCTGTGTCGGCGCCGTCCCGTCAGCTGAACCCCTCTGCGGGGGCCTGTGTCGGCGCCGTCCCCTGAGCTGAACCCCTCTGCGGGGGCCTGTGTCGTCGCCGTCCCCTGAGCTGAACCCCTCTGCGGGGGCCTGTGTCGTCGCCGTCCCCTGAGCTGAACCCCTCTGCGGGGGCCTGTGTCGTCGCCGTCCCCTGAGCTGAACCCCTCTGCGGGGGCCTGTGTCGGCGCCGTCCCGTCAGCTGCGCCCCTCTGCGGGGGCCTGTGTCGGCGCCGTCCCCTGAGCTGAGCCCCTCTGCGGGGGCCTGTGTCGTCGCCGTCCCCTGAGCTGAGCCCCTCTGCGGGGGCCTGTGTCGTCGCCGTCCCCTGAGCTGAGCCCCTCTGCGGGGGCCTGTGTCGGCGCCGTCCCCTGAGCTGAGCCCCTCTGCGGGGGCCTGTGTCGGCGCCGTCCCCTGAGCTGAACCCCTCTGCGGGGGCCTGTGTCGGCGCCGTCCCCTGAGCTGAGCCCCTCTGCGGGGGCCTGTGTCGGCGCCGTCCCCTGAGCTGAACCCCTCTGCGGGGGCCTGTGTCGGCGCCGTCCCCTGAGCTGAGCCCCTCTGCGGGGGCCTGTGTCGGCGCCGTCCCCTGAGCTGAACCCCTCTGCGGGGGCCTGTGTCGGCGCCGTCCCCTGAGCTGAGCCCCTCTGCGGGGGCCTGTGTCGGCGCCGTCCCCTGAGCTGAACCCCTCTGCGGGGGCCTGTGTCGTCGCCGTCCCCTGAGCTGAGCCCCTCTGCGGGGGCCTGTGTCGGCGCTGTCCCCTGAGCTGAGCCCCTCTGCGGGGGCCTGTGTCGGCGCCGTCCCGTCAGCTGAGCCCCTCTGCGGGGGCCTGTGTCGGCGCCGTCCCCTGAGCTGAACCCCTCTGCGGGGGCCTGTGTCGTCGCCGTCCCCTGAGCTGAACCCCTCTGCGGGGGCCTGTGTCGGCGCCGTCCCCTGAGCTGAACCCCTCTGCGGGGGCCTGTGTCGGCGCCGTCCCCTGAGCTGAACCCCTCTGCGGGGGCCTGTGTCGGCGCCGTCCCCTGAGCTGAACCCCTCTGCGGGGGCCTGTGTCGGCGCCGTCCCCTGAGCTGAGCCCCTCTGCGGGGGCCTGTGTCGGCGCTGTCCCCTGAGCTGAGCCCCTCTGCGGGGGCCTGTGTCGGCGCCGTCCCGTCAGCTGAACCCCTCTGCGGGGGCCTGTGTCGGCGCCGTCCCCTGAGCTGAGCCCCTCTGCGGGGGCCTGTGTCGGCGCCGTCCCCTGAGCTGAACCCCTCTGCGGGGGCCTGTGTCGGCGCCGTCCCCTGAGCTGAACCCCTCTGCGGGGGCCTGTGTCGGCGCCGTCCCCTGAGCTGAGCCCCTCTGCGGGGGCCTGTGTCGGCGCCGTCCCCTGAGCTGAACCCCTCTGCGGGGGCCTGTGTCGGCGCCGTCCCGTCAGCTGCGCCCCTCTGCGGGGGCCTGTGTCGGCGCCGTCCCGTCAGCTGCGCCCCTCTGCGGGGGCCTGTGTCGTCGCCGTCCCCTGAGCTGAACCCCTCTGCGGGGGCCTGTGTTGTCGCCGTTCCCTGAGCTGAACCCCTCTGCGGGGGCCTGTGTCGGCGCCGTCCCGTCAGCTGCGCCCCTCTGCGGGGGCCTGTGTCGGCGCCGTCCCGTCAGCTGCGCCCCTCTGCGGGGGCCTGTGTTGTCGCCGTCCCCTGAGCTGAACCCCTCTGCGGGGGCCTGTGTCGGCGCCGTCCCCTGAGCTGAACCCCTCTGCGGGGAGCCTGTGTTGTCGCCCTCCCCTGAGCTGAACCCCTCTGCGGGGGCCTGTGTCGTCGCCGTCCCCTGAGCTGAACCCCTCTGCGGGGGCCTGTGTCGTCGCCGTCCCCTGAGCTGAACCCCTCTGCGGGGGCCTGTGTTGTCGCCGTTCCCTGAGCTGAACCCCTCTGCGGGGGCCTGTGTCGGCGCCGTCCCGTCAGCTGCGCCCCTCTGCGGGGGCCTGTGTCGGCGCCGTCCCGTCAGCTGCGCCCCTCTGCGGGGGCCTGTGTTGTCGCCGTCCCCTGAGCTGAACCCCTCTGCGGGGAGCCTGTGTTGTCGCCCTCCCCTGAGCTGAACCCCTCTGCGGGGGCCTGTGTCGTCGCCGTCCCCTGAGCTGAACCCCTCTGCGGGGGCCTGTGTCGTCGCCGTCCCCTGAGCTGAACCCCTCTGCGGGGGCCTGTGTTGTCGCCGTTCCCTGAGCTGAACCCCTCTGCGGGGGCCTGTGTCGGCGCCGTCCCGTCAGCTGCGCCCCTCTGCGGGGGCCTGTGTCGGCGCCGTCCCGTCAGCTGCGCCCCTCTGCGGGGGCCTGTGTTGTCGCCGTCCCCTGAGCTGAACCCCTCTGCGGGGAGCCTGTGTTGTCGCCCTCCCCTGAGCTGAACCCCTCTGCGGGGGCCTGTGTCGTCGCCGTCCCCTGAGCTGAACCCCTCTGCGGGGGCCTGTGTCGTCGCCGTCCCCTGAGCTGAACCCCTCTGCGGGGGCCTGTGTTGTCGCCGTTCCCTGAGCTGAACCCCTCTGCGGGGGCCTGTGTCGGCGCCGTCCCGTCAGCTGCGCCCCTCTGCGGGGGCCTGTGTCGGCGCCGTCCCGTCAGCTGCGCCCCTCTGCGGGGGCCTGTGTCGTCGCCGTCCCCTGAGCTGAACCCCTCTGCGGGGGCCTGTGTTGTCGCCGTTCCCTGAGCTGAACCCCTCTGCGGGGGCCTGTGTCGGCGCCGTCCCGTCAGCTGCGCCCCTCTGCGGGGGCCTGTGTCGGCGCCGTCCCGTCAGCTGCGCCCCTCTGCGGGGGCCTGTGTCGTCGCCGTCCCCTGAGCTGAGCCCCTCTGCGGGGGCCTGTGTTGTCGCCCTCCCGTCAGCTGCGCCCCTCTGCGGGGGCCTGTGTCGGCGCCGTCCCCTGAGCTGAGCCCCTCTGCGGGGGCCTGTGTCGGCGCCGTCCCCTGAGCTGAACCCCTCTGCGGGGGCCTGTGTCGTCGCCGTCCCCTGAGCTGAACCCCTCTGCGGGGGCCTGTGTCGTCGCCGTCCCCTGAGCTGAACCCCTCTGCGGGGGCCTGTGTCGGCGCCGTCCCCTGAGCTGAGCCCCTCTGCGGGGGCCTGTGTCGGCGCCGTCCCCTGAGCTGAACCCCTCTGCGGGGGCCTGTGTCGGCGCCGTCCCGTCAGCTGCGCCCCTCTGCGGGGGCCTGTGTTGTCGCCCTCCCGTCAGCTGAGCCCCTCTGCGGGGGCCTGTGTCGGCGCCGTCCCGTCAGCTGCGCCCCTCTGCGGGGGCCTGTGTTGGTGCTGTCCGGTCGTCCGTGTTGGGAGGGATCTGGTGCCCACCAGCGGTGCATATGCAGCCTGGCACCAGCGGCCGGGGCATCTCCACCCTGCCCCGCCTGCCTGGTGTTCTGGCCTCTCAGGATCCCGCACACCCGGGCTCTCCTCCATCTGGGGGAGGACTCCCTCCTGGGGACTGGTCTACAGGACCTCTGGGCAGCTGGTACATTTTCTTCACAGCGCCAGAACACTGAGCGCAAGGGTTTGCTTCCCTCCTGTCTTTCCCTTTCAACCCGCTAAAGGCAAACAGCACAGCCACAGCCGTAATGCTGGAAGGGACTCCAAGGACCACCATCTTGCTGATGGGGAAACTGAGGCTCTGAGTCTGCTCCCCCAGACCACAGAGGGGAAGAACTGGGGTTCAAGAACAGGGCTTCCGTCCCCCGGTTTGGGGACCCCCTCTGAGGACTTATGCTCATGCTGCCTTTCTTCCGGGGTCACTCAGAGACCCTGGACCTACAGCTGGGATGGCTTTCTCCCCTTTCTGGAACCTCACAGTTGAGCAGACAATACATTTTTTTCAAAGAATTATTGTTGTACCTTTTTAAAAGAGCCTGGTGAAAACAAAAATGAATAATATCCCTTAAACAGAGGTTTGGGCAAGAAGGAAACACACCTTCCACACCCAGGGTTTATGGAAGACACGTCGCCATTTGCCCGGGCCACACGACTCCTCTCCAGGCTGCATGCGCTGCGGGGCCAGCCGGGGGCCGCTCCACACAGACCTCGAGTTTCCACCACAGGAAGGTGCAGGACGCAGGCAGAGGCCGAGAGACTGGAACATCAACCGAAGCAGCAGCTCATGTCACAATGGAAACCTGGACAGCTGACAGGTCAGCCAAGGATGGAGGAATGGCTAAATAAGCCCAGTGCCTTCCAGAATGTTCCTGCCTCAGAAGATTATACAGCCAGTGAGGTACATGGATGATAGACAAACATACAGATGGAGAGACATAGAGATATAGAAAGGGAGAGAGAGGTAGATATAGGTAAAGATGAAGATACAGGTGATTCATGGATACAGAAATTGAGACGGATGATAGATGGATGGGTAAATGGACAGATGAATAGATGATAGATGGACAGACAGGAGGGAAATTGGTTGGGAGATGATCAGATAAGTGGTCGATAGAGGGAGGTAAACAGACAGATGACAGACATGGACAGATTGATACAGACAGGTGATAGATGATAGCTGATTGATAGAAAGTTGGGGACAGAGAGAGAGGGCTGGACACAGATGGCAGGCAGCTCTGGGTGAGGCCTTGCCGGGCAGACCCCAGCGTGGGCGCTGCCTCCCAGGGAGACCATAGACATGATCCATGAGAGTGCGGTGACCCTTCAAGGATGTTCACAGTCTTAATAGCTGCATGAGAAAATGAGAAGACCGTGTTAATAAGCAAAACAAGCAGCTTAAGAAGCTGGACAGGCCAGGTGCGGTGGCTCAGGCCTGTAATCCCAGCACTTTGGGAGGCCAAGGCGGGCGGATCAAGAGGTCAGGAGATTGAGACCATCCTGGCCAACATGGTGAAACCCCGTCTGTACTAAAAATACAAAAATTAGCTGGGTATGGTGGCGCATATCTGTAGTCCCAGCTACTCAGGAGGCTGAGGTAGGAGAATCGCTTGAACCTGGGAGGCAGAGGTTGCAGTGAGCCAAGATCGCGCCATTGCACTGCAGACTGGGCGACAGAGTGAGACACTGTCTCAAAAAAAAAAGAAGCTGGACAAGGCTGGGCATGATGGCTCACACCTGGAATCCCAGCACCTTAGGAGGCCAGGGTGGGAGGATCATTTGAGGCCAGGAGTTTAAGACCAGTCTGAGCAACATGGCAAAACCCTGTCTCTACAAAATAAATAATAAGAAGAATTAGCCAGGCATGGTGGCATGTGCCTGTGGTCCCAGCTACTGGGGAGGCTGAGGTGGGACAATGGCTTGAGCTCAGGGTGGTTGAGGCTGCAGTGAGCTGAGATTGCACCACGGCACTCCAGCCTGGGTGACAGAGTGAGACCCTGTCTCAAAAAAAAAAAAAAAAAAAAGGCAAAGGAAAGGAAATGCAAACCCACAGAGGAGTAATAAACATTCTACCAATTAAAATGCACCATGTGGCAGCCCCACAGAGGAAGAGATCTCTGTCTGCTGTGTTCCTTGAGCCTCAGGATGGTGAGAATCAATGGAGCCTTGTGGAGCCTTGCTGGTTTTTGAAATAATGAAACAGACAACACGACACGCTGGCACGAAAAAAGAGAAGCACAAATGGTTGATGTTGGAAACAGAAATGGGAGCAAAGGGACCCGGCGGAAACTCGGTATCTCCGTGTGCGTGTCCCGCGTGCATAACGCATGTACAGATGCACACATACAAAACGAACAATTTCCTCGCAAAACATAAGCTGTCAATCAAGGAGACGTGAAATCCGAACAGTTTTATAACCACCGAAGAACGGGATCCAGGATTAAAAACCTGCCACCCTCCAAGGAAACAAAGCCCCTCCTAAATTGTGCTGATGGCTGGGGCAGCCCATCCTCCGTGAGGACCACCAGAAAAGGGGCTGGAAAGGCAAAAGCACCTGCTCAGCGCCCCAGGCGGCGGCCCATCCTCCGTGAGGACCACAGGTAAAGGGGCTGGAAAGGCAAAAGCACCTGCTCAGCGCCCCGGGCGGCGGCCCATCCTCCGTGAGGACCACCAGAAAAGGGGCTGGAAAGGCAAAAGCAGTGGCTCAGCGCCCCAGGAGGCGGCCCATCCTCCGTGAGGACCATCAGAAAAGGGGCTGGAAAGGCAAAAGCACCTCCTCAGCGCCCCAGGAGGCGGCCCATCCTCCGTGAGGACCATCAGAAAAGGGGCTGGAAAGGCAAAAGCACCTGCTCAGCGCCCCGGGAGGCGGCCCATCCTCCGTGAGGACCATCAGAAAAGGGGCTGGAAAGGCAAAAGCACCTGCTCAGCGCCCCGGGAGGCGGCCCATCCTCCGTGAGGACCATCAGAAAAGGGGCTGGAAAGGCAAAAGCACCGCTCAGGGCCCCAGGCGCTGGAGAAAACAGACTAGAGGTGAAGCTGCTTCCAGGCTGCCCAACACTCAGCACCTCTGAGGGCCTTTGAGTCCTTGGTCCCTGACTCACACCCTTAAAGTGGCAGGAGGACCAGAGAGGCCTGCCCTCTCTGGGACCCAGGCCGCAGGGATCGCCTCCATCCTACCCAGACCGGGCCTCATGGCTCAGTGTGCCCCGGGGTCCAGCAGCAACGGTGTCCCAGGAGCTGTGGGAAGTGCAGAGTCTCAGGCCCACCTGGCCCTGCTGGGACGGAGACTGCATTTAAACAAGATCCCTGGGGTTCAAGGCATACCGTGTTTGATTATCACTGGATTTAGGGGTCTGCCCAGCCCATTCCCTGCCAGATGGAGAGGAAATTCTTTTCCAAGGAAGGTAAAATCACCCAGACCTCTCAAACCAACCCCCATTTACTACAGAAAGGGCCCTTGGGACTCCTGCACTTAGCATTGTGAGTGGCAATGCGGGTTGTCCAAGCTGTGTGGTGGTCCGGGCAGTGTGGTGGTCCAGGCATGATGAGTGGTCCAGGTAGGGTGGTGGTGAGTGGTCAGGGCAGTGTGGTGGTCTAAGCAGTGTGTGGCCTAGGTAGGGTGAGTGCTCCAGGCAGTGTGGTGGTCTGGGCAGGGTGAGTAGTCTAGGCAGTGTGGTGATCCGGGCAGTGTGAGTGCTCCAGGCAGTGTGGTGGTCTGGGCAGGGTGAGTAGTCTAGGCAGTGTGGTGATCCGGGCAGTGTGAGTGCTCCAGGCAGTGTGGTGGTCCGGGTAGGGTGGTAGTCTTAACAGGGTGAGTGGTCCGGGCAGTGTGGTGGTCCGGGCAGTGTGGTGGTCCGGGCAGGGTGAGTGGTCCGGACAGTGTGGTGGTTCGGGCAGTGTGAATGCTCCAGGCAGTGTGGTGGTCCGGGCAGGGTGAGTGGTCCGGACAGTGTGGTGGTTCGGGCAGTGTGAGTGCTCCAGGCAGTGTGGTGGTCTGGGCAGGGTGAGTAGTCTAGGCAGTGTGGTGATCCGGGCAGTGTGAGTGCTCCAGGCAGTGTGGTGGTCCGGGTAGGGTGGTAGTCTTAACAGGGTGAGTGGTCCGGGCAGTGTGGTGGTCCGGGCAGTGTGGTGGTCCGGGCAGGGTGAGTGGTCCGGACAGTGTGGTGGTTCGGGCAGTGTGGTGGTCTGGGCAGTGTGGTGGTCCAGGCAGGGTGAGTGGTCCGGGCAGTGTGGTGGTCCGGGCAGTGTGGTGGTCTGCGTAGGGTGTTGGTCCCAGTAGGGTGGTGAGCCTGGCAGGGTGAGTGATCTGAACAGTGTTTCGTCTGGGGCAGAGGTAAAGGTGCTGGCAGAGACATCAAGCTCCGTCCATTTTCCCGGCAGTGCTGTTGAGTGTGGCTGGAGGATCCGAGGGTGTGGTCTGAGCGACCTCAGTGGGGCCTTGATTGCTGGGTGTTGTCCAGAAACCCGCCGCTCCTCCCACTGGCCTTGACCTTGGCTGGGCTGGGGGTTGCTGGGCGGCAGGGGCAGGCAGCCACCTCTGCACACAGGGCCACCCTCGCCACTGCTCTCCCCATTGGATTCTGCAGAGCCGGGGACTTCACGGCCCTGACCGCTGCCCTGTATCTCGGTGACGTGATGTGCTCGTGTTGGTTTTTCCTGTCTTTTTTTAGACTTAATCAGAAATAAGGTAGAAGGTCAGAGTCCACAGCAAAGAGGCACAGAGGGGAACGGCAGCTCCTTGGGTCCCACGGGGCTGTGCCTGCTCCTTGGTGGGGACACTGGAGGCCCAGAGTGGCACAGACCCTGTCTTCACTGAGGGGAGAAAGAGGCAGCCCCGGGGCATGAGAGCCACCCCTGCTGATGCTGCCCCGGGCCCACAAGGGCCAAGCTCCAGGAACATGGAAGTCCTGCCCTGGGCAGCACAGCCTCCAGATTCCAAGAACCCAGCCTGGCACCCCAGGCTGGGCACAGCAAGGAGAGAGACTTCGACACTCTGCATTAAGATGGTAGCTCGTGGCCGGCGCGGTGGCTCATCCCTGTAATCCCAGCACTTTGGGAGGCCGAGGCGGGTGGATCACAAGGTCAGGAATCAAGACCATCTGGTTAACACCATGAAACCCTGTCTCTTAAAAATATGAAAACTTAGCCGGGCGTGGTGGCAGGCGCCTGTAGTCCCAGCTACTGGGGGGAGGCCGAGGCAGGAGAATGGCGTGAACCTGGGAGGCGGAGCTTGCAGTGAGCCGAGATCACATCACTGCACTCCAGCCTGCGCCACAGAGCAAAACTCCGTCACACACACACAAAAAAATGGTAGCTCCTGAGCCAACACTTTTCCGCTCCCCCACCCGCTGCGTCTCAGCATTCCTTAGGCTCTCCCCTTGGGAGACTCACATGTATGGGGCGGGGGAGCGGGGGTTTCCTAGGCCCTGACTCAGCTAGAGCGTCTGGCTGACCCGTCATTGTCCAGGGAAGCCATGGATCTGGTGGCCGCAGCCCAGCGCCGTCCTCACCACCCAGGCCTGCCTGGAGCCCAGTGGCTGTCAGGGCAGCCGAGACCAGAAGCGCAGGTGGAGCCAAGGCCCCGCTGCAGTCCGCAGAGTTGCAACTCTGGGAGCTGAGCCCTCACAAGCCTTGCTTTTCACCTCCTCCCAGTGCTACCAGCCAGACCCCGAGGGCCCGGGACCCTCCATGTACCCATCCACACTTCTCGGCCCACCCCTCCCTGACAGCCCCGGCACCCCGGGAGGGAGCAGGTGCGTCCCGCTTCGGGCCCTCTGAACCCCCTCCATTTCGGGCTGTTTCAGACTTCGGCCTCTCTGAAGCTCCTCCATTTCTGGCTGCTTTTCACTGCCGTCTGCCTGCCTGTGTTCTTGTCTTCACGCCGGCCTTTGGTACGGGAGGGAGCCATCCACGGCCCACACTGCAGCTCCCGTGACCTCCGCACGGCCCCGTGCGGACACTCATCTGGATTTTGTTTGTGCTCAGGAGAGGCTCTGCATTGAACGACCTTGCACTGGGCCGGTTTCTTTTCTAAAGGTTCCAGAGGGCATGGCTGTCAACTTCCCGCTTGTGTCCCCGTCGGGTTCCAGGGCACAGAGGTTTATGCGGAGGGCTCGAGGGACTCACACCTGGGGGCAGAGTTGGGCAGCGGCGACGGGCACTCTGGAGCCCATCACCCCCTTGGTGTCGAGGCCCAGGGGCCTGATGTGCCCACTGCTGGCCAGTTTTTGGGTCGGGCCCCTCCCCCAGGGGGGTGCTGGGCTACCCTCCTGAGGGCAGAAGCAATTGTTAAGAGCCTCATCACTGTGGTGTCAGCCACTAGCCCTCCCCAGCTGTGGAACAGGGGTTGGTCCCCATGCGGAGGGGTCCTGGTCCTGGGCGGCCCCACCACACCCTGAACCGCCTGAGCTTCTGACTGCATGGAATATTCACAGGACTGCAGTGTGAGAAGGCAGCACCGCCCCGGCGCCCGCGAGGAAGCCGAACTGCTCATAAGTTAAGCAGCCCCAGCCAGGTCACGGGGCAAGGAAGCCGCCTGCGACCTCGGAAACCCCTGGTTCATCCCATGACCCACCCCCGTTCATCCGGTGACCCACCCCTCACCCCGGTTCATCCCGTGACCCACCCCCCCGTTCATCCCATGACCCAGCCCCCCACCCCGGTTCATCCCATGACCCAGCCCCCCACCCCGGTTCATCCCATGACCCACCCCCCACCCCGGTTCATCCCGTGACCCACCCCCCGTTCATCCCATGACCCAGCCCCCCACCCCGGTTTATCCCGTGACCCACCCCCTGTTCATCCCGTGACCCACCCCCCGTTCATCCCGTGACCCAGCCCCCAACCCCGTTCATCCCGTGACCCACCCCCAACCCCGGTTCAGCCCGTGACCCACCCCCCCCCGTTCATCCCGTGACCCACCCCCCCCCGTTCATCCCGTGACCCTCCCCTCGTTCATCCCGTGACCCACCCCCCACCCCTGGTTTATCCCGTGACCCACCCCCGGGTCATCCTGTGACCCAGACCCCACCCTGGTTTATCCCATGACCCGCCCACGGTTCATCCTGTGACCCGCCCCCCGTTCATTCCCCCGCCCCAGCCCCCCACCCCTGGTTTATCCCGTGACCCACCCCCGGGTCATCCTGTGACCCAGACCCCACCCCTGGTTTATCCCGTGACCCACCCTCGGGTCATCCCGTGACCCAGACCCCACGCCTGGTTTATCCCGTGACCCACCCGCAGCACCAGCACCTCAGTGCTGCTTTTGTATTTATAGTCGCCTTGCTGTATGTTGAGCGTAATTTTACAATCTGCCCAAAATTCCTTTGAAGAGCAGATAGGTGTGTACACCCTAAATGAATAAAATACAGTGCGATTTGGTGAAAGGTAACGGCTCGTTTATTTTCCTTGCCATAAAAATGCTACAATCACCCTGAAGGTGAACCTGGCAAGCGGCATAGGGGCCAGGGCCTCACTCGGCTCTCCTGTGCACCCCGCCCCGGTGTGATGTTTGGAGATTTGCATACGAGGCTCTCAGCCAGGAAGGAAATGGCCAGGAATCCCAGAACGCGGCACTGATTTTCCCCATGTTATCTGACTCCTGATATTCCCCGAACTGTGTGACCACTGCCTGTAGTTCAGTCTGTAATCAAATACTTTGTAAAGACTGTACAAGTGATCCCAGACCCAAAAGGAAACGTCAGAAATGCGAGGCTGTAGGCTTGTTAGAGATGGGAGGCTGTTAGGTTTGTTAGAGAAGGGAGGCTGTAGGTTTGTTAGAGATGGGAGGCTGTTAGGTTTGTTAGAGAAGGGAGGCTGCCTTCTTGTTAGAGATGGCAGGCTACAGCCTCCCATCTCTAACAAACCTAACAGCCTCCCATCTCTAACAAACCTACAGCCTCCCATCTCTAACAAACCTAACAGCCTCCCATCTCTAACAAACCTACAGCCTCCCTTCTCTAACAAACCTAACAGCCTCCCATCTCTAATAAACCTAACAGCCTCCCATCTCTCCCAAACCTAACAGCCTCCCATCTCTAACAAGCCTACATTTGTTAGAGAAGGGAGGCTGTAGGTTTGTTAGAGAGGGGAGGCTGTTAGGTTTGTTAGAGATGGGAGGCTGTTAGGTTTATTAGAGATGGGAGGCTGTTAGGTTTGTTAGAGAAGGGAGGCTGTAGGTTTGTTAGAGATGGCAGGCTGTTAGGTTTGTTACACATGGGAGGCTGTAGGCTCGTTACATATAGAGATGGGAGGCTGTTAGGTTTATTGGAGATGGGATGCCTCACGTATAGAAGGGAGGCTGTAGGTTTGTTAGAGAGGGAGGGTGTTAGGTTTGTTAGAGATGGGAGGCTGTAGGTTTGTTAGAGATGGGAGGCTGTAGGTTTGTTATATATGGGAGGCTGTAGGTTTGTTTAGATGGGAGGGTGTGGTGTTTGTTAGAGATGGGAGGCTGTTAGGTTTATTATTCATGGGAGGCTGTTAGAACAAACCTAACAGCCTCCCATCTCTAACAAGCCTACAGCCTCCCATCTCTAACAAGCCTACAGCCTCCCATCTCTAACAAACATACAGCCTCCCATCTCTAACAAACCTAACAGCCTCCCATCTCTAACAAACCTAACAGCCTCCCATCTCTAATATCTAACAAGCCTACAGCCTCCCATCTCTAACAAAAAACAAACTCCCATCTCTAACAAACCTAACAGCCTCCCATCTCTAACAAACCTACAGCCTCCCTTCTCTAACAAACCTAACAGCCTCCCATCTCTAATAAACCTAACAGCCTCCCATCTCTAACAAACCTAACAGCCTCCCATCTCTAACAAGCCTACAGCCTCCCATCTCTAACAAACCTACAGCCTCCCATCTCTAACAAACCTACAGCCTCCCATCTCTAACAAACCTAACAGCCTCCCATCTCTAACAAACCTACAGCCTCCCTTCTCTAACAAACCTAACAGCCTCCCATCTCTAATAAACCTAACAGCCTCCCATCTCTAACAAACCTAACAGCCTCCCATCTCTAACAAGCCTACAGCCTCCCATCTCTAACAAACCTACAGCCTCCCATCTCTAACAAACCTAACAGCCTCCCATCTCTAACAAACCTACAGCCTCCCTTCTCTAACAAACCTAACAGCCTCCCTTCTCTAACAAACCTCCAGCCTCCCTTCTCTAACAAACCTAACAGCCTCCCTTCTCTAAAAAACCAAAGGCCTCCCATCTCTTAAAAACCTAACAGCCTCCCCATCTCTAACAAACCTACAGCCTCCCCATCTCTAAAAAAGCCTACAGGCCTCCCATCTCTAAAAACCTACAGCTTCCCTTCTCTAAAAAACCTACGGGCCTCCCCTTTCTAACAAACCGTTAGGTTTGTTACAGATGGGAGGCTGTAGGCTTGTTAGAGAGGAGACACTGTAGGTTTGTTAGAGATGGGAGGCTGTAGGAAGAAAAAGATGGGAGGCTGTAGGTTTGTTAGAGATGGGAGGCTGTTAGGTTTGTTAGAGATGGGAGGCTGTTAGGTTTGTTAGAGAAGGGAGGCTGTAGGTTTGTTAGAGATGGGAGGCTGTCCGCTTGTTAAGATGGGAGGCTGTAGGCTTGTTAGAGATGGGAGGCTGAGGAAAGAGAAGATGGGAGGCTGTAGGCTTGTTAGAGATGGGAGGCTGTAGGTTTGTTAGAGATGGGAGGCTGTTAGGTTTGTTAGAGATGGGAGGCTGTTAGGTTTGTTAGAGAAGGGAGGCTGTAGGTTTGTTAGAGATGGGAGGCTGTACGCTTGTTAGAGATGGCAGGCTGTAGGCTTGTTAGAGATGGGAGGCTGTCGGCTTGTTACAAATGGGAAGCTGAAGCTTGTTAGAGATAACAGCCTCCCAACTCTAACAAGCCTACAGCCTCCCATCTCTAACAAACCTACAGCCTCCCATCTCTAACAAACCTAACAGCCTCCCATCTCTAACAAACCTACAGCCTCCGTTGTGGACCGCTAACAGCCTCCCATCTCTAATAAACCTAACAGCCTCCCTTAGGTTTGTTAGAGAAGGGAGGCTGTAGGTTTGTTAGAGATGGGAGGCCCTTAGGTTTTTTAGAGATGGGAGGCTGTAGGTTTTTTAAGAAGGGAGGCCGTAGGCTTTTTACAAAAGGGGGGCCTTTAGGTTTTTTAGAGAAGGGAGGCCGTTAGGTTTATTAGAGATGGGAGGCTGTTAGGTTTGTTAGAGAAGGGAGGCTGTTGTTTTGTTAGAGATGGGAGGCTGTTAGGTTTGTTAGAGATAGGCTGTAGGTTTGTTAGAGATGGGAGGTTGTTAGGTTGCAGGAGATGAGGCTGTAGGTTTGTTAGAGATGGGAGGCTGTAGGCTTGTTAGAGATGGGAGGCTGTTAGGTTTGTTAGAGATGGGAGGCTGTTAGGTTTATTAGAGATGGGAGGCTGTTAGGTTTGTTAGAGAAGGGAGGCTGTAGGTTTGTTAGAGATGGGAGGCTTGTTAGAGATGGGAGGCTGTAGGTTTGTTAGAGATGGGAGGAGAAACTTGTTAGAGATGGGAGGCTGTTAGGTTTGTTAGAGATGGGAGGCTGTTAGGTTTATTAGAGATGGGAGGCTGTTAGGTTTGTTAGAGAAGGGAGGCTGTAGGTTTGTTAGAGATGGGAGGCTGTTAGGTTTGTTAGACAAGGGGGAGGCTGTTAGGTTTGTTAGAGATGGGAGGCTGTAGGTTTGTTAGAGATGGGAGGCTGTAGGCTTGTTAGAGATGGGAGGCTGTTAGGTTTGTTAGAGATGGGAGGCTGTTAGGTTTATTAGAGATGGGAGGCTGTTAGGTTTGTTAGAGAAGGGAGGCTGTAGGTTTGTTAGAGATGGGAGGCTGTTAGGTTTGTTAGAGATGGGAGGCTGTAGGCTTGTTAGAGATGGGAGGCTGTAGGTTTGTTAGAGATGGGAGGCTGTAGGCTTGTTAGAGATGGGAGGCTGTAGGTTTGTTAGAGATGGGAGGCTGTTAGGTTTGTTAGAGATGGGAGGCTGTTAGGTTTGTTAGAGAAGGGAGGCTGTAGGTTTGTTAGAGATGGGAGGCTGTAGGCTTGTTAGAGATGGGAGGCTGTAGGCTTGTTAGAGATGGGAGGCTGTAGGCTTGTTAGAGATGGGAGGCTGTAGGCTTGTTAGAGATGGGAGGCTGGGCTGTAGGCTTGTTAGAGATGTGAGGTTGTAGCTGCAGTTTTCATTTTTCTCCAGCTGACGCTGTCACCTGTTGCCATCAGAAATCTCTCTGTCATCATCTGGTGTTTTCTTTACCTCTGAAGTTAACAGCCACTGTAGATGCTTCTCCTGGGTCCTCCACCCGGAGTCCCCTCACAGCCCACCCAGGGGACCCTTATTTCTCCTGGTCAAGCCTGGGTCCTGGATGTGACATCTTTTGATGAAAATCTTTTTTATATATTTTATTTATTTATTCATTTTTGAGATGAAGTTTCACTCTTATTGCCCAGGCTGGAGTGCAATGGCGTGACCTCGGCTCACTGCAACCTCCACCTCCTGGGATCAAGTGATTCTCCTGCCCCCACCTCCCAAGTAGCTGGGATGACGGGCATATATCACCATGCCCGGCTAATTTTGTATATTTAGTAGAGATGGGGTTTCACCACTTTGGTCAGGCTGGTCTCAAACTTTTGACCTCAGGTGATCCACCCGCCTCGGCCTCCCAAAGTTCTGGGATTACAAGTGTGAGCCACTGCGCCTGGCCTCTTGATGAAAATCTTCCAGCTTCTGGGGCTTGCTCTAGGACAGGAATGAAAAACCACGGATTCTGGTGCAGTAACCAACTGAGAGCCACTCAGAACTGAGAATCACCTAAATTTAGAGGTTGTTTTTTTTTTTTTAACAAGAGGTGCTATAAAACTTTCCATGCATCCACTTTTTATTTAACAGCTTTACTGAGGTATAATTGACATACAGTAAACTACATAAAGTGTCAATTTGATGGTTTGACATGTGTCCACACTGGTGAAACCACCACCATAAACAAGATAAAGAACAATCTCCATCCATCCAAAGATTTCTCCTTCGTCTTTGCAACACCTCTCTCCTCCCAACCCCCGGGCAGCCACTGATCTGCTTTCTGTCGCTATTGACTAGTTGGCATTTTCTATAAATTTCATAGAAATGTAATAATACACTAACTACCTTTCTTTGGTTTGCCTTATTTCACTCAGAAAACAATTTTGACATTTATCTATGGTTTTACATGTATCAATATTTCATTCCTTTTTAGATCTCAGCTGTCTACCATTGTATGGATGTACCACAATCTATTTATCCCCAGACCTGTTGAGGCACATTGAGTTGTTTCCAACTTTGATACTAATTTAACACCTCCAGATTTATTTGATAAGGATTAGCATGGTGTATTTTTGCCCAGTCTTCTATTTATTGCTTATCTGTGCCTTTGTATTTAACGTGTGTTTCTTAAAGGGGGCACACAGTTAGGTTTTGGTTTGTTTTTTTCAATCTGACAACTTTGCTTTTTAATTGGGATATTTAGATCATTTATATTTAATATGATTGATGATAAGGCTAAGTTTAAATATACCATTTTTCAGGCCAGGCACGGTGGCTCATGCCTGTAATCCCAGCACTTTGGGAGGCCGAGGTGGGCAGATCACTTGAGGCCAGGGGTTCAAGACCAGCCTGGCCAAACATGGTGAAACCCTGTCTCTACTCAAAATACAAAAATTAGCCAGGCGTGGTGGCACACGCCTGTAATCTCAGCTACTGAGGAGGCTGAGGCAGGAGAATCACTTGAACCTGGGAGGTAGAGGTTGCAGTGAGCCAAGATTGCACCATTGCACTCCAGCCTGGGCAACAGAGTGAGACTCTGTCTCAAAAAATAAAAATAAATCTACCATTTTTCTATTTGTTTCTATTTGTCCTATCTCTGTTCATTCTCTTTCTCCTTTTTTTCTGTTTTCCTTTGCATTATTTTTCTAAGATTCCATTTTATCTCTTTTGTTCAGTTTTTAGCTATTATTCTTTGTTGTGTTCAGTGATGGCTTTAGGGCTTATAATATACATCTTTGGTTTATCACCGTCTACCTTTATTGATATTATACCAGTTAACAACCTTACAGCAGCATCTTCCATATCTTTCCTCCCAGCCTTCCTGCTATTTAAGCCATGCATTCTTTTCACATATGCAAAAAACCGCAATTACTTTTTCACCAACCTAATATAATCCCATAGTACATTGTTAATTTGCTTCCCCCTGTCTTAGGGATGACTGTCCTATGTTGTCCAGTGTCCAGTGTCTTCAAAACCTTTGTTTCCCGTATTGTTTTCTAGTTTGTTTGTTTCAGGCAGGTGGTAAACCTGATCCAGTGACTCCATCACAGCTGGAGGAGGAAGTGAACTCACTTTTCTTTTTTTTTTTTTAGATGGAGTCTCGCTCTGTCACCCAGGCTGGAGTGCAGTGGCGTGATCTTGGCTCACTGCAAGCTCCACCTCCTGGGTTCATGCCATTCTCCTGCCTCAGCCTCCCGAGTAGCTGGGACTACAGGCATCTGCCACCACGCCTGGCTAATTTTTTTTATTTTTAGTAGAGATGGGATTTCACTGTGTTAGCCAGGATGGTCTCAATCTCCTGACCTCGTGATCTGCCCATCTCGGCCTCCCAAAGTGCTGGGATTAAAGGCATGAGCCACCATGCCCGGCCTCACTTTTCAAAATAACTCTTTATTCATTTGTGTGTATGCCATGTGTGTTCACTATTTAAAAACAATTAGAAGCTATAGAAAACTAAAAGTTAATAAAGTAAAACCCATCCCAAATCTTACTATCTAGAGCATTGTTAAGATCCAATTACATTTCAGCCCAGTCACTTTTCTGTGCATATAGAATATTCCTCAGACAATCACAATATGCATCAATTTGCATATGTAGATGTTGATTTTTTTCCCTCACATCACACAGAGAACATTTTTCCATATCATTAAAATTCAAATTGAAGCATCATTTATTTATGACTCTTCACTTGCTGGGTTTGCATAATCAACCATTTCGGCCAGTAGAGTTTCAGGTAGATTGGTACCAGAATGTGAAAACAGATCGAGGGAAGAGCATAATCAACCATTTCAGCCAGTAGAGTTTCAGGTAGATTGGTACCAGAATGTGAAGACGGATCAAGGGAAGAGCATAATCGACCATTTCAGCCAGTAGAGTTTCAGGTAGATCGGTACCAGAATGTGAAGACGGATCAAGGGAAGAGCATAATCGACCATTTCAGCCAGTAGAGTTTCAGGTAGATCGGTACCAGAACGTGAAGACGGATCGAGGGAAGAGCATAATCGACCATTTCAGCCAGTAGAGTTTCAGGTAGATCGGTACCAGAACGTGAAGACGGATCGAGGGAAGAGCATAATCGACCATTTCAGCCAGTAGAGTTTCAGGTAGATCGGTACCAGAACGTGAAGACGGATCAAGGGAAGAGCATAATCGACCATTTCAGCGAGTAGAGTTTCAGGTAGATTGGTACCAGAATGTGAAGATGGATTAAGGGAAAAGAAACTGGAATTCCAGAACTAGACTCAGGTGTATACGGAAATGGCATATCACAGAGACAGCATTGCCAACCCATGGGAAATGGATGATTCTACCCGAGGTTGCATGATGCCCTGCTAGGCATTTGGAGAATGTTAAGCTGGGACCACAGTTCATTCTTTCTGGCAGTGTGAGTGGTGCAGAAAAATGATTCACCATTTAAAATCAACGGATTGCTGGGCCACTTTCTTCCCTTCTCCTTTGCCTGCTAATCCCGCCCTCAGGACTCGCCCCCAGCATCACTTCCTCCAGGAAGACTCCCCTAAGCCGAGTGCCCTCTCTCTTTGGGGCCCACGGGAGCTGACGTGTCTCTGGTGTGTGGGGCAGAGGTCAGGAGCTCTCTGAGAGTGACGTCCTGTCTCCTTACTGCTGCGTCTCCGCACCCTCAAAAAGCAGAAGCCTGGCTGCTGCTCACACTGGCGTGGCCTTGCCTGGGGGTGAGAGGCCCTCACAGGTCCCCTGTCCAGGGCTCAGGGCAGTGGGAATCAGCACGGAGACACGCTGAGGTGGCCGTGTCTCAAACACAAGTAATAGATGGGCTCCTGTGAGAGAAAGGGAATGGCTTTGTGGCTCCCAGGGAGGTTTGTGATTTGGAGTCTCTGTTTGCTGGTTCAGAGCAGTCGGATCTGAAGCTACCGGAACTGAGAGAGACAGTTTTGACTTTACCAAGATGTCTCACGTCACTGCATCCCAATCCAAAGACAGATTATTGTGTGGCATATTAAAGTGGGACAAAAAGTGGTATTTATTCCTTGGAATCGAAGGACACCTATTTACTGTGCATTTCTGGCTACTGAGCACCAGCGAGTCGGCACCTGCAGAGACGGGAGGGAGGAGGTGCCACGTGCAGCATCCTGGTGAGGCTCTGCTCCCAGTGCGAGGCGGCCTGTTTGGGCAGAGCTGGACTCGTTTGCCTGCGCTAGGCAGACGCAGCATGAACCCACAGCGCACAGCCTATGTGGAATCCAGCACTGGCGGTTTGTCCTGCCACTGTCCAGCACGTCCAGCCCCCTTCTGGGCGGGAGGCTTGACACCAGCCCTGACACACAGCAGGCAGGTGAGGTGCCAGCTCCTGCATCCCCCCCACAGAGCCAGGGCTTCCTCCAACCTGGTGCCTCAGCGTCAGGCAAGCAAAGCAAAGGCAGCAGCAGGTGGGAGCCCCATCCCTGGCCAGCGAGCCCCACAAGCTGTGGGGTGGCCTCTCCTGCCTCAGTTATCTGGGAGCAGGGAGTGAGTGTCACAACAGCCTTGCATTGGATTCACGGTGGCAGGTGGCCCAGGGGTGGGCCGGTGTGGGAGGGTTGTCCTGGGCAGACCACACCCAAGGTCATGGGCCTGGCTGCCTGGCCCCTGTGGCCCTGACCATCTCCCGTGCCAAGACTCCCAGCGAAGGGGCAGTGGACCCAGGTCTGCAGCTTCTGAGGGCTGCACAGTTCGTACCCCCAGCCCCACCCTACCTGGACAGGCTGCAGCCCACTGGGTCTCTAGGAGGGGGCGGGCCTGCGATGAGGGTCCAGGGAAGAGCCATCCTTGGGCAGCTGCTCCTGAGGCCCCGGCACTGCCCTCGGTGCCCCCAGCACTCACCCTCTCCACTGCCCAGTCAGCCTGGCA
This sequence comes from Homo sapiens, assembly GCF_000001405.40. NCBI lineage: Eukaryota > Metazoa > Chordata > Mammalia > Primates > Hominidae > Homo > Homo sapiens. Next base: position 81,396 of record NT_187550.1, read on the forward strand.
GCCATTGTCTAGGCCTCCAGGCTACAGCCCCCACTTTGAAGCAACTCTGACTCCAAAGTGGCACGCCTTGTCCCTTGTTTAAAACTTGGACTCAGAGGGGTGAGGGTCCCTGCAGGGTGCACCTGGAGACCCTCTGAGTCCAAGTTTTAAACATGAGGCTTCCCAGTCCCCATCCTGGTCTTTGGACAGAGGCAGCAGCAGGTGGGAACCCCATTCCTGGCCATTCAAGCCCCACAAGCTGTGGGGTGGCCTCTCCTGCCTCAGTTATCCGGGAGCAGGAAGTGGGTGTCGCAACAGACATAATCAGGTGTCACAAAGTCCAAGCCCTGTAATTCTGTGAACTTTATTGGTAGGAGGGGCTGTCTCCCGAGCCGCTCGCCCCATCCTTAACCCGGTTTTGGCCCCAAGTATATGGCGCCCCAGCCGAGAACAAGGCCATTCAGGGATTAAGACAGCCAAGCCTCAGTCTCCAGTCGGGTAAAGGGCAAAGGACGGCAAAAGGCCATCCGGAGACCCCAGGGCTGGCCTCATAGGGCAGGGCAGCTGGTGTTGGGGTCACAGCCTGGCACTAGCACCACTTCTGAAAAAAGCTCCCGGGTGGCATGGTCATAGGACTGCCCAATGTCAGTGCTGGGACCACACAAGGACAGGTGTGACCTCGGGGTAGACTTTCCTCCTGATAAGCCCTGGCAGCTGCTCCAGACCCTGCAGGGACAAGCAAAGTCACTTTCCCTGACCTCCTCTTTCCCGGGCCTTCCCAGGGCTCCCAGAGCCACCGTGACCTGTAGGGGCCAGGACAGGAGGAGAGAAAGCTTGGGGCTGGAACAGGACCTAGCCTGCAGGGTAGCAGGTGCAATCCCAGGCTTCAGGGCTGGTTGTGCGGGGCTCTGCCCAGCGAGTGTGGTGGGCCAGGGTGGAGGCCCTGCCTGTGCTCCCTGCAGCCCCAGCAATCCCTCCTTGGACGCTGGCCTTGAGAAGAGCCAGGGAGGCTGCTGTGCTTTCAGCTGCTGGACCCTAGGGGAGCAAAACCCCATGGAAGAGCCTGTACGAGAAGAAGGCCTGAGACAGTTAAGTGACTGCTCTATGGAAGGCCCCAGCAAGGATGCTTCAGCAGGGTCCCATGAGCACCCAAGACCCACTTGCTGACACAGCACGGACACCCCCAGAGGCCATGGCAGAGTCAGCTTCCCTCTTCCCCCTCCACAAAGAGTTGGCCACATTCTGCAAAGTCAGTGGTCAGGGGCCCACTGTGGCCACCAGGAGCCTGCCGTCCGCCCTGTGGTATGTCCTGCAGCTCTCGACACCTCACAACCTCCAGCGGGCCTTGCCCACCCCATGGGAAGGGGCACCAGGATGCCTAAGGCCCCATAGAACTCAGGCCCTTGGCCACATCCAGCCTCTGGGCTCCATCCACTGAGGCGGTTGGCCCGTGCTGACCCACAGGTCATGGAGTCTCAGGCCTCAGGCCCTCAGTCCAGAAGGGGAGATGAGTCCGGCAGCATGTCCAGTGGAAAAGGGCCTCCAATTGGCTAGTTTAAGTGGCATTGACTAAGACCTGGCTAGCACTGGGCCCACAGGTCCCGGTAGGTCATCTGGTTGGGACCCCCACACCCAGCACTCCTATGTCCCACAGAGCTGCTTTTGTCACAGCACACACAGCTGCATTCATGCACAGACAGGTCCTCATGTGTCTGGAGTTTGTTCCTTCCGGTGGGTTCATGGTCTCGCTGACTTCAGGAATGAAGCCACGGACCCTTGCGGTGAGTGTTACAGCTCTTAAAGGTGGTGTGGACCCAAACAGTGAACAGCAGCAAGATTTATTGTGGAGAGGGAAAGAACATAGCTTCCACAGCATGGAAGGGGACCAGAGTAGGTTGCTGCTGCTGGCTGGGGGGTGGCCAGCTTTTGTTCCATTAGTTGTCACCACCCATGTCCTGCTGATTGGTCCATTTTACAGAGTGCTGATTCGAACATTTTACAGTGTGCTGATTGGTCCATTTTACAAACCTCTAGCTAGCTACAGAGTGCTGGTTGGTGCGTTTTTACAGAGCACTGATTGGTGCATTTTACAAACCTCTAGCTAGCTACAGAGTGCTGATTGGTGCATTTTACAATCCTCTTGTAAGACAGAAAAGTTCTTCAAGTCCCTACTCAACCCAGGAAGTCCAGCTGGCTTCGTCTCTCACTCAGAGACCCGGTGAGGAGACGCAGCTGAAGATGCCTGGGCAGGACCCGGGGCCGACCAGGCTTCTCAGAGCTGTCCTCAGCTGCTAATCCCCTCCAGTGGGTCAGGGAGTCCTGAGCAGCACAGGACCTGGAGGAAATACAGTGACAACCCCCTGGCCTGCAAGCAGGTGGCACGAGACAGGCACCCCAACATGGCCAGCAGGCGGGGACACCAGCTTCAGAGGCTTGGCCCCTCCAACCCACACCCCAAGAGCATTGGCCTCCCTGGTGGTCTCCTGGCCCTGTTTGGGTTTTGTGTCTCACCAGGCTCATGTGACACTTGGGACCCACCTCAGAGCCAAGCCAGACAAGGCCCCTGGGGAGCTTCAGGTCCCACAGCCTGACTGGAGGCAGGAAGGAGACCCCTGGGGGGCGTGCAGTGCCTTGAGTCCTACTGAGGGGATGCCTGGTGCGCAAAGGCCTGGCCCCGGCCCCTCAGCGTGTGAGAGCAGGAAGCTGCTGTGTCCTCGATGCCTCCTGTCCTGCTGTCCTCCTATCCCAAGGAATGGGCAGCCGGGCCCGGGGTGCTGTTTGTTCACTCTCGGGGACGAATGTGCCAGGCTCCACCTGTGAACCCACATCTGACCCAGCTCTCTGCTAGGGCAGCGCCTGCCCTCCCTACTCTGCCTGTGTGATTTTAAAGCCTATGAAAATTAAACAGGAAGTGGAAGTGGAAGTGAGACCAGCCCCTCCCACGGCCTCACGGGCAGAGCACTGGGCTGGGGCTTCGCGGCTGCGTTTACTTCCCCAAACCTTCACCTTCCTCCAATGAGCAAGGTTGGCTAAAGGTAATGCGGTCGTAAAATGATTTCCGGATCTTCTGAAATCCCCGACAGGAGCCTGTGGTCTGGAAAGCTGTTGCGCTGGCCTGGACCGTGGGCTTGGAGGATGGATGGGCTCCCACCCACGGTCCCATTTGCCAATTGTTCCTGGCAGTTAGTCACCCCCTGGCTGATGAGGACGTGGTAAACCACACGGGGTTGAGGAGAGGACGGAGCCTCGGCGTGACCTCGGGCCACCTCTGAGCCACTGAGGGATGCAGGGCCAGGCGGGGGTCACCACAGGTGATTTTTCCCAGTGTCTGTCCTGGACCCCTCACCCCAGGCTCCAGGCAACTCAGCCGTGGGCCCTGCCCAGAGCCCCCCAGGCTCCAAGGGCACTATAGCCTTTGTGGGCCAGAGCTGCTGTCCCAGGCGTGTGCTCAGGACCCTCAAAGACCTGGCTTTCCTGTCCTGCCATTGTCCTGGGGACCTCAAATGCCCACAGGGTGATGCCCCAGAACCCTTGCATCCTCCTCCATAGCCCAGCTCCCTCTGGCCTCCGCTGTAGCCTCAACCTCAGGCTCTTGGGTGTGTGGCTCCTGCCTGGGGCCCACTGAGCCCTCAGCTGCACCAGGCCTTGGGTGTCTCCAACTAAGCCCAGCACCAGCTCCGACACTGTTGTCCTATTTCCCCACTTTACCATCCTTGGGACCCCAGCATCCAGCCCTCAGCGGCTTTCCCCACTTTACCATCCTTGGGACCCCAGCATCCAGCCCCTCAGAGCTTTCCCCACTTTACCATTCTTGGGACCCCAGCATCCGGCCCCTCAGCGGCTTTCCCCACTTTACCATTCTTGGGACCCCAGCATCCAGGCCCTCAGCGGCTTTCCCCACTTTACCATCCTTGGGACCCCAGCATCCAGGCCCTCAGCGGCTTTCCCCACTTTACCATTCTTGGGACCCCAGCATCCGGCCCCTCGAGTGGCGGCACCTTGGCTTCTGCTCAGCACTCTGCCAGTTCCCCTCCACGAGGCGGCTTGAGCACACTCACTGGACCCACCTGGCCCTGCAGCCCAGCCCTGGCCCCGGCTGCTGTGGTGCTGAGACCCTCCCCACCCGCCTGCAGCAGGCTCCTCCCCTGGACCTTCCTCCGCAGGTGACCCCAGACACATCAGGGCCCTCAGCTGACACCTTTCCATGTCCTCCGCAGGTCCCTGCACCCCGCACGCCCACCTGCCTCTCGCATGCTGGGGCCTCTGCCTGTCCCTCTGCCCTGATGGCTTTCATGTCACTGCCTAAGCACGTTCAGCGGTCCTCCACCGAGCACTAGAACACCAGACCCTCCCTCCCGCTGTCCCGCGCCTCTGCTTCCTGCTGCCAAAGCTTCCCCGTCGCACCCGAGCCCCTCGCACCTGGCTCTGCCATACGGAGCAGTCCTTGTCCCTGCAGCAGCGTCACCAAAGCCTTCCTCTTGATACAGCTGCTCCTTCTGGGGTCCAGGAGATTTGGCCTGAGGAGCTGGGATGTCACTTGTGGGGTCTGTGGGATACTCTGACCTGAGGTCTCCCAGACCCTCCCTGGGAGGATGACCCAGACCTCAGCTCCGAGGTCGAGGCCTGGTGCAGCTCAGGGCTCAGTGGGCCCCAGGCAGGAGCCACACACCCAAGCCCTGTGCACCCAAGCCTGAGAAGTGCCCTCGGCAGAAGGAAGGGCCCGTGGGGTCAGAGCCGGGCCACCCATGGGGCCTGTGCTCCCAGGGGACACACCGGGGCCACTGAGGGCTGTCAAGACAGGGCCTAGGCATGACCTTGGTGACAGTTTGTTACCTGAAAAAAAAAACAAAAACAAAAACAAAACTTTTCAAGAAAAGCACCTAAGAAGATGAAGTGGGAACGTCATGTGGTGGGCACGCCAGCTTTCAGAGACGCGGTGGGAACGTCAGCCTTTCAGAGATGCGGTGGGAACGTCAGCCTTTCAGAGACACGGTGGGCACCCCAGCTTTTCAGGGGCTTTTCAGGGTCGTCCTTGCCCTGCACGTGGGACCAGGACCGATGTTCACCTGCTGGAAACTTGGGTCTCAGCCAGTGCAGGCCCCTCCCATGCCCCAGAGATGGGAAAAGGGGCTTCTCCCGGACCTTGGGCTCCTTCGTCCTCTGCTCAGGGCTGGGAGCTGAGGTCGGTGCCTCAGATGCCCCACCTGCCCCTTCCACCTGAGAGCTTCAAACAGAGTGGACAGCACCGACTCCCACAGCACAGCCAGAGTCCTAGGAAGGCACCGCGGTTGTGCCATTTTCTCCCTGCCTCACTGAGGGCCTGTGCTTGAGCTTCTCACCAGCAGCCCCGTCCCTTGCCTGCAGCTGAGGGTGATGCTCCCTCCCGGGGTCAGCCTAGGGCCCCGGCCCCTCCCCAGCCCCACCCCAGTGTCATCCTCAAGAGGCTCCACCTGCTTACCACGCCCATCTCCCCCATGCCCCGCCCCAGGCCCTCTCCAGGCCCCGCCCCCTCAAAGCCTCTGCCTCAGGCCCTGTGATGGGCAGGGGGCATCTGTGAGGAGCAGGGGAAGGTGGAGGGGCCCAGAGGCGAAAGGGTCTCACCAGGGCACCTGCTTCCCACAGAGCTGTGTCTGTGCAGACATCAGAGGGCTGCAGGCCCTGAGCTCATCCCAGACCCTCAGGTCTTACCAGGCAGCCCAGGGTTGGGGACAAGAGCACTGTCACCTTCCCCCCCAGGTGGCCCCAACCAGCCCCAGGCATGAGAGCCCCTTCCTTGACCTGTCCGGGGCACCCCACGTGACCTGCCCCTGGGGGAAGGGCGGCACCCCATCCTCAGTGACCTGGAGGTCGGAGGGCAGCTGCCTCGCCCCAGCCCAAGGCGCACAGAGCCCCCCAGGCCAGCGCAGCCCTGTGGCCCCAGGCAAGCCCTGCAAGATGGATGAGAAGCCTCGCCCTTGCCAGCCCCCTCCCCAACCCCAGGCCAGAAGAGATGGCAAGGAGGGCGGTGGGCACAGCAGCCCCTCCAGAGGAGCCAGGACCCAACCCAGGAGGCGGGCAGCCCACTTGATGGGGAGGGAGGCAGAGGGGGTGGAGGAGGGGACCAAACCCTTCCTGGTCCCTCAACACCCCCCTGCTGCACCAAGAGGTTGTGCAAAAGAGCCGGCATGTCCTGCAGAGCCTGCGGGTCACGTGTGTTAACAGGAGCGGGATGCTTCCCTCCCGGCTGTGTCTGTCCAAGGCCGAGCATGGTCCAAGCCCCTGTGAGGCCCCGCAATGCATATCAGGACCCCTCAGCTGCACACATTGTTGCTTTTATTATTATTATTGGAGATGAAATCATAGCACATCTGGGATGGCTTCAAAGTCGTCCTGGAGAGAAGGACGGGGCAGCAGGCCAGGAGGGAGACGGGCATTAGGACAGAAGGTGCCTGAAGTGGGTGCAGCCGGGAGCCTTCTTGGAGGAGGTGGCTCCGAGCTGAGATCCCTGAGTCAGGAAGGACCCAAAGCCTGAGAGACCATGCCCAGAAAGTCAGGAGAAACAAGGCTGCCCCGCTCCAGGGCGAAGGGCTGGGAAGGAGGCAGAGGGCGAGAGCCACAGGCCCAAAATCCAGAGAGGCCATCCCAGCTCCAGCCCTGCCATGAGGCAGCACAGAGGCCTCGGTGACCCTGGCGGAGCTGTGTCGTGGGGACAGATCAGTGAGAAGATGGGAGGCGTGGGCATCCAGGCTGGACCTCTCTGGATGGAGGGAGTAGGGGCGGGCTACACAGGAGAGGAGCCGGGGACACAGGGGAGGGGCACAGAGCTGAGGCTGAGGCAGGGCCGTGGAGATGGGAGGGGAGGCCAGGGCTTGGCGTGGAGATCGCGAGCTGATTCAGGGGAAGGGAGTGCCCCCGTGCTCTCAGGGTGGGTGCTGAGGGGGCATCCGGGCAGCTCCCCAGAGCGGGTGAGGGGCCCAGAGGGGGAGCCTGGCCCGCCAGGGAGGCAGGGGGTCTGCAGAGGCAGCTGCCGACACAACTGGGACAGCCCTCTTGAATGGAAGCCTCTGGGTGGCTGTTGGCAGTGCGTGGCACACAACACAATGAATGTCTACATAAACATTAATTAGCACCAGTTAATGAATAATTACACACCCCACGGTGTCGCCCAGTGCGGAGCTGTCGCTTGATAAAGATTGAATGAGAAGGACAGCAAAGCACTGATTGATAAGAGCCTTCCCTTTTGTGATCGATGCCAAGGTCACGGGTGGGGAGGGGCTGGGGGGCACAGCAGACACACCTCGGCCGCACACCCAGGACCCGCTGCAGGGAGCCCCGGTGCCCTGGCCCCGGTGCAGCCCTGATGCCTGCACCCACCCCATTTGAGGAGGAGCTTTGGGACCGGGCTTTGGCTGCCGCCTCAGTGACAGCTCTGCCGGGGGTCACGTTACTGTCGCCGTTTTCTATTGATGTTTGGCGCAGAGTCCAGCTGTGGGGGGCTCATGCGCACAGCAACCTCAGGGCCAGCACCCCCGACATGGCAGCTTTTCTTTCTTGGCTCACAGACAGCACCGGGAGGCAAGGTCAGGGGGCCAGGGACAGGCAAAGTAAGGCAGTTCCCAGGCGTGGGCAGCTCCCTTCCTACAGGCTGGTTACTACAGCCAGAGAGGGTGGAGGCATCATCACTGGGCTCACCTCCCAGCCCATCTGAGAGGCCAGATGCGGCCGTCCACGTGTGGCCAGCAGGTAGGTAGGGGCACCAGGGGTGCGAGTCTGCCTTCCAGGGTGCAGAGGATTTCATTTCCGGAGAAGCTGCCAGCCGGAGAGCTCCTCTTCCCAGCCCGGCCCTCTGGCCTCTGGTCCCCGATCCATGCAACGACTTCTCCAAAGCCAGGAGTCCTGAGCTGCAGTTGCCGAGGCAGCAGACAGAGCCCCGAGGCCAGCTCTTCTGTGCACAGCCCCTCCCAGGCGAGCTGACGCAGGAAGAAGAGGGAAAGCTTTGTGTGGGCATAGCGCTTGTCCCAGCGAGCCCACGGGACAGGTGCCAGGCTCCCGGCCGAGGTCCCTGCTCTAGAGCTGCAGACACACAGAGCTGGTGTCCCTTCCGAGGACACACACATGCACACACACGCACACATGCCACCACGCTTTATTTCAATCACCTGGTCCCACCGAGGACACCTCGTCGTGCGTGTAGTTGGGACTCCTCGCCTGTTGCCTGTGTCTCCTGAGCTCCAGGCTGGCTGGGAGACGCATGTGGGGCTGGGCTTAGGAGGCACAAGTGCAGGCCAGATGCTGGTCCTGTGCCGGCTGCTTCCTTGACTCTCTCTGGCTGACTGCTGCCAGGCCTGTGCTAGCAGGGTCTTGGGAAGACCCTGGAGCGAACACCCAAGCACCCGTGCCCCTCCTGCCAGCCCAAACCGTGCCATCACACACAGACACAAGCTGGGGCAGGTGTGGCATGAAGGAAATGGCAACTGTGCTCCTCCGCAAATGTTCCAACAGTCCCCTGGCCAGCCTGGTGCCACAGCCAAGTCAGGGACGCCATCTCCCAGAGGCGCGGTTACTCCCTTGAGCCGTCGGTGCTTGGCGACGTTTTCCCTGAGGGAGCCCTGGGCGGCTGAGGCGGCATCGTCAGGCAGGCACAGGTGATGGGACAGAGCTGAGCATCCCCAGCCGCTGTCCTCTGTGCATCTCCTGAAACCCCCAAGATGGCTGCCCAAGGCCAGTGGGGTTCCGGGGTCCCCCATCCCGACAGCCGCCTGCCCACCTGGCCATCCAGGTGCCCTTTCAGCCCTGCTTCTGCCGTCGGTGACTCCAGGCTTTGGAGGAGAATCTGGGGGCTTCCCTGTGAAGGGGGTGAGACCCGCAGGAGCGGCACGCCAAGAACGTGGCTGATGATGCGCTGGCCACTAGCGGAACGCCTGCGACCCGGGGCCGTGGGTCAATCAGTGAACTGATGGAACGTCAGCATCCGTGACCTTCTTCTCCTCTCAAATCACCAGCCTTCCACGGGCCCACCAACCAACCCTGAGCTCGTGGGCTAGGTGGATTCCTTCTGGCTCAGCTCTGTGTTGACCTCACGCCTTATTCTCCTCTCAAATCACCAGCCTCCCACTGGCCCACCAACCAACCCTGAGCTCGTGGGCTGAGTGGATTCCTTCTGGCTCAGCTCTGTGTTGACCTCACGCCTGGGCAGTGGCTCAACTGTGACCATCACGACTTCCATCCACGCAGAGCCGCCTTCTCCTGTGCAGGGCAGCTGTGCCCACACTCACTGGCCCTGGGCCAGGGACCTCCCCGGCAGCAGTGGGCTGGCATGGTGTGACCCCCACCTGACAGATGAGAACGCTGGGCACAGAGAGGCCAAGTGACTCCCTAGAGGCAGCACAGCCAACCAGTGTGGGAACGGGATTCCCCCAGGCCCTCGGGCCAATGCAGACACGGCTGCCACTCGGTGAGAACGTCCACAGCGAGGCCAGCAGAGTGGGGCCTGGCAGGGAGCGGGGCCTGGCTCTGTGACTGCGTGACCCATGGCCGGCCACTGAAGCCTTCCGCTTCCTTGTTTTAAAATGGGATTAGGAGTGGAGGTGAATGCCAGGCTGGCCGCACCAGGTTCCCACAGGTATCAGATGAAACCCGGGTAGGGACCCGCAAGGGGCCAGCAGCCGTGAGCTGTTGTTATTTTTCTGAGTGTATAATACTCAGTCTCTAAATAGGGAAGTTAGAGACTGAGCAATGAGTGTATTCACGGTAGACAGGCATGGGGGACAGTCCATGGGCCTTGGTCTGGGAGCCCAGTGGTGGCCAGCACGGCTGGAGAACGGTGGGCAGCGCCGGACCCCACCTGCCTTCTCAGCGGCTTTCTGTAGACGCGAGGCCGTGCTAGGGAAGGTGTCTCAGCCCCGCGGTGGGGTGGGCAGTGCCCTGCAGATGCCGTTGAGCGGGCTTTCATCGGGGAGGTGAGCCGGCCGGAGCAAAGCATCGCCCACTTGTGCAGCGTCAGACTCACAGAATCGCTAACACACAACGCTCAGGGAGAAAAGCCAGAGTCACAGAATCGCTAATGCACAACGCTCAGGGAGAAAAGCCAGACTCATAGAATCACTAAGTCACAATGCTCAGGGAGAAAGGCAGAGTCACAGAATCACTAACACACAACGCTCAGGGAGAAAGTCAGACTCACAGAATCACTAACACACAACGCTCAGGGAGAAAGTCAGACTCACCGAATCACCAACACACAACGCTCAGGGAGAAAAGCCAGAGTCACAGAATCGCTAATGCACAACGCTCAGGGAGAAAAGCCAGACTCATAGAATCACTAAGTCACAATGCTCAGGGAGAAAGGCAGAGTCACAGAATCACTAACACACAACGCTCAGGGAGAAAGTCAGACTCACAGAATCACTAACACACAACGCTCAGGGAGAAAGTCAGACTCACCGAATCACCAACACACAACGCTCAGGGAGAAAGTCAGAGTCACAGAATCACTGACACACAACGCTCAGGGAGAAAGGCCAGACTCACAGAATCACTAACGCACAACGCTCAGGGAGAAAGAGTCACAGAATCACTAACACACAACGTTCAGGGAGAAAGTCAGACTCACCGAATCACTAACACACAACGCTCAGGGAGAAAGGCAGAGTCACAGAATCACTAACACACAACGTTCAGGGAGAAAGGCCAGACTCACAGAATCACTAACGCACAACGCTCAGGGAGAAAGGCAGAGTCACAGAATCACTAATACACAACGGACAGGGAGAAAAGCCAGACTCACAGAATCACTAACGCACAACGCTCAGGGAGAAAGGCAGAGTCACAGAATCACTAACACACAACACTCAGGGAGAAAGGCCCGGCTAGGAAGTGGCGAGCCAGCAGGTGGTCGGCTTGTTAGGGCTGTGACAGAGTCCACTTTGTCTCTGCCGAGGGCTTACTCTGCTGCAGGGAGCTGGGGGCCCTGTGCACACATCCAAGGAAAACACCCTTGTTGTCACAGCCGAAACAACAGACGCATGAGAGATTGATTTTTGAAAATATTATTCCCGAAATCTAAACATCCAGGGGGCATTTCCTGGCAAGCAAAGGCTGTTTGGGCCTCTGCATCTGCGGCTCTGGCGTCTGCCTGGGGCTTGGCTGAAGCCCTGTCAAGGAAGCACTTCTGAACCACGAGGAAAAATGTCCTGATTTGCATATTGTCTTCCACCCAAAGCTGTCGCCTGCGTCCCTGGCTCGCCCTGCCCAGGTGGGCTGCGGGTGGGGAGTGGCCACCCAACGGTGACTCAGAGCACTCCAGCATCCTGACTCTTGCTCCGTATTACATCCCATGAACCTGGTGGCTTCCTTTTCTGGGAGGAAGTTAGGGTTCACGTCCATCACAAGACAAGTCTCCCTCACAGCCCGATTGACCCCAGGACAGCCTGTGCCTGGGGGAGCACGTTGGGGGGCTATGGGCCCCATCCTACAAGGTCTCTGTGGGGTGGGCGGGGGGTAGCACATGAAGGGGCTGCGGGCTCGGTCCTGCAAGGTCTTGGTGGGGTGGGCGGGGTGGGGCCCCAGCGATGGCATCCGGGACGGTGCAGTCTGGGAGGGGCAGCGGGACCTCGGAAGGGGGCCTTGGCCGCAGGTGCCCCCGGAGCACATTTCAGGCCCCACAGTCCACACCTCTCACACAAGCCCCCCAAGCACGGCGAGCGGGCAGCACGGGGCTCTGTGTGCACACGGCAGACTGAGCACTGCTGGGCGCTGCCAGGGTCACGTTGCCCACAGGGGAGCACAGACACCCACGGGACCGAGCGCCGGCTGCAGGGCGCGTGCCAGCGGCCCGCAATGATGTCCGACTGCAAAGGGACAGGAGGCCTCAGGCTCACTGGCCTCTGGGTTCCCCACAACGACCCCCAACGGGGAGGCCTCTAGGTTCTCAACTGGGAGGAGGGGTCCTGCCCCTGGGGAGGCGGGGGCAAGGGTGAGGTGAGGGTCCCAGAAGGCAGGGGCCGGGGGCAGGAGGCGGCTGAAACCAGCGCTCTGCTGGGGTCCAGCCTGGTGGTCCCAGCTGTCCACACGGCCTTGCTGGTGGCTGGTTCAGGGCCCTCCCACAGGGAGATGTGGCTTGAAGACAAGGGCCCCGCCCCACTGCACATCTCCCAAGCCATCCTCAGGGCCCAGCTTACTACCATCTGTGGCCTCCGCACACCTAAAATCCAACACACACCCCAAGAAGACAGGGGCCCTGCCAGGGCTGGAGCCAGGGACAGCTGGGGGCCGGAAGTGAGCATGTGGGGTCCTGCTAGGTCCCAGGGGGATGCGGAGGGGGCTGCACCACCCACAGCACTGCTGAGGAATGCCATTCCCTCAGCTCCGCGTCCACCCCGGGTCCCCCTTCCTATGGGGGTGCTGACCTGAGTCCTCACTTCCGCTCTGGGTTTTCTCGCAGGAGTCTGGACAAGCAGCTGGACTCGGGCAGGTTGGGTCAACTCAGGATGTCCTCGTGCGTGAGCTACAGGGTCACAGGCCAGGGTCAGAGGCCAGGCCTGAAGGGGACACCTGGCCCCGCTCGGACAGGGAGGAGAGCACTGGTCCCCAGCAGTGTCCCAGCAGCCAGCCTCCCTCCAGGTGCCGTCTCAGGCCTGCCCTGTCTGCGCCCAAGTGCCTCTGCAGGGCCCCAGGGCTGGGAGGTCACAGAGCAGTGGCCAGGACAGGCTGGATGGGGCCGTGGTCCACCGGGCTGGGAGACGAATCCTGGATGGGGCCGTGGTGCACCGGGCTGGGAGACAAATCCTGCCCGGGCTCTGGCAAGTCACCCCCTACCCTGTGCTGAGCCAGCCCCGCCTGCAGGAGGTTGAGGTTTGTGCTGGGGTCGGCACAGGTGGGGTGAGTTCCCAAGCGGCTCCGTGAACAACTGCTCTTCCCGATTGCTGGCACTCGCGGAAGGGTTAGGTCAGAGACAGGGAAGGCCGCGGCTCAGCGTCAGGTGCAGACACTCCGTGAAGTCGGGAGTGATGAGGTGACGACGGCCCTGCACCTCCCTGTGGACCTGCCGGTGGGGTCCAGGGACTGTGAAGGAAGAGACTTCGGGACAGGAGGGAGCCGGGGGGGACCCCGAGTGCCAGGCCCTTGACTCTGAGCTCAGGGACACGGAGTCCTGCCCCAGCAGCTGTTCTGTGCCGACTGGGTCTGGCATGAGCGGTGTCCAGATCTGAAAGGCTAATGTGTGCAAATGAGCGCTGCGCTCTGCCTAGGAATTCCGCTTCCCCACCGGCTGCAGGCGTTCCTCTCTGTGGGAACTTTCCACTCTCAGCAGCAGTGCACCTGGGCATCCAGCACTGTCTCCAGGTTTAGGCAATGCCTCTTCCTTCTAGGCGGACAGAGCCAGGAGGGGGCTTGGGCCTGGCGACCCTGAGGAGGTCAGAACCCCCTGGCCACAAGATCACCAACCCCAGGGCCCTGGGTCCACTGTTTGTGCGTTGGTGAAGGGGTGACCACAGGGGTCTTGGTGCTGAGACTCGGGTCAGAGATTCTGCCTGTGAACGACCTTGGCCCCCGCCCAGCAGTGTGAACAGAACCCTGAGCGAGGCCACGCAGCCTCCCCAGGCAGGGAGAGCTCCACACAGGCCGAGACGGCTGTGACAAACCAGCCCTTCCCCCACCCGATGGCTCTGGGCCTCCAGGGTGACCGGGGCCAATTCTGGCTGCTCCGAGCCCTGCCAGTCTAGGCGGCTCCACGTTCAAAGCAAAACAGGTGGAGGTTCCACAGACGTGAGAGGAGCTGAGTGCCCCGCACATCCGGAGGCAGCAACCGGCCCTCCTCCTGCCGCCACAGGTGCCCACCTCTCAGGCTCTTTGAGGCTGCGTCAGGAGGGGGCCAGGCTGTGATCCAACCCAGCTGAAGGCATGGGCCTGCCCCTGCAGTGGGTCCCCAGCACCACTGGGCTCTGCTTCACCCCTGGGCTCAGCGTGGCCCCCAATTCCCCAAATGTCTGGAGGGACAGCAAGCCCAGCCTTTGCTCACACTCAAGAATGTGGCTATAACGGCAAATGCATGAGAACATGAATGACCAGTTTTCAGAGCACACCAGTAGGAGTTCTGAACTTATTCCCATGAACAAAGCTGCTGTTCTTTGGAGAAATCTCTTGGATTCTTTTGAGAAGAAATGCTGTCGGCAGTGAGTGCGCCAACAGAGCTGTGTTCGCCCCCACGGATGGGGGCAAATTCGCCAACCCCCGAGCCCTTTGCTCAGCCCATGAATGGGGGCCTCCGGGAGCACGATGCACTTTGAGCTGTGCCAGGAGGGGCCCTGGCTCTGAACTCGAGAGCCTCCCTAAGTCCCCGAGCGTCAGCTCAGACAAAGCCCAGCACGGCAGCCCGTTGTCACGGCTTTCAGGCCGTGTTTGCTCTGAGCCTGGCCTGATACCACTGAACTCCAGGCAAGGCGGGGCTCCCGGCCAGCTGAGATGGCGGCTGTTTTCAGGCCGAAGGGGACCTGGCCCCCAGTCCGGCAGCCTGAGCCATTCCACAGCTCCAGAGGCTTCTCGTCAGACTGCCCTGTGAGCTGAGTGTCCTCTCCATCCAGGAGGTCTGAGGTGCAAGGGCTGGGCGGTCACCGCCTGACACAGGTCACTCAGGTCACTCTGACAGTTTCAGGGACGCACTGAGGTACATGGCATGGGAAAGGCCCTGGTCCAGCTCAGAGCCACTCACAGCGTGTGCCAAAGCCACGTGGGGAAACTGAGGCCCTGGTCCAGCTCAGAGCTGCTCACAACATGTGCCCCAATCACATAGGGGAAACTGAGGCCCTGGTCGAGCTCAGAGCTGCTCACAACATGTGCCCCAACCACATAGGGGAAACTGAGGCCCTGGTCCAGCTCAGAGCTGCTCACAACATGTGCCCCAATCACATAGGGGAAACTGAGGCCCTGGTCCAGCTCAGAGCTGCTCACAACATGTGCCCCAACCACATAGGGGAAACTGAGGCCCTGGTCAAGCTCAGAGCTGCTCACAACATGTGCCCCAACCACATAGGGGAAACTGAGACCCTGGTCCAGCTCAGAGCCTTTCACAGCGTGCATCACCACAGCCGAATGGGGAAAGTGAGGCCCGTCGATGTCCAGGAGACCTTGCCCAAGCCTGGTGAGGACCTGGGCCTAGCCAGCTCCAGAGTTTTCTTCTTCTCCCCACGGCAGGCATCTGACCAGAAATACCAGGGATCTCCCGGCCTGTCTGAGTCAAAGCCGAAGCTGCAGGATGGGGCAGAGTGGAGAGCTGAGCGCTCCTGGGGAGGGACAGATCTGGGATCCAGCGTGAGCTAAGATTGACTGAACAGCTGCCTGAGAGAGCAATTCCGTCCATCTCCAGCTGTTTCTATGGAGGCAGAGTGGAAGGGCTGTGGGGCAGGCACAGAGGTGACCCCAGCCAGAGCCACCCCCACTGGCAGGTGGGAATGCCCGCCGGTGAATAGCGGCAAGTGTGATGGTGCCTGCCCACTGCACACCTGGTGCACACACGTGTCAACCACCTAGAGCGTGCCCAGCCCTGTAGCCAAGGGACTCACCACCCTTGCTCTGCGGGGGGTGCTCCAAGGCACAGTAAGACTGGTCCATGCCAAGTGAGGGCAGTGCCGGCTCGGCCAGCCACCTGCTCCAGGTCTCAGCTCCCGCAGCTCCACCTGACTTCCCGGTGTTTCTAGGGGTCTGAGGCCCCACACCAGCACCAGCCTCCAGCTAGTGGCGAGGGCTGTCGCTGTGTCTCCAGGCAGTGAACGAGCCTCTGGAGGGTCCCTGGAGGGGAGGAGAGGGAGGACAAGAGCGCATCTCGTGGAGGAGGGGCAAACACACCCTGGGGGTAGATGCAAGGCTGAGCCAGGCAGGCCAGGCAGTGTCTGCTGGGGACACACGCCGGAGCCCCTGGGGGGCCAGGGCCTCAAAGGAAGCCGGAGGAGGAGACCTGGATGATTACTCAAGTGTGAGAGACTCAAGGACACCCGCTGCAGCCAAATTCTGTGTGAACAATGATTTGGAACGCGGCCGCGCAGAGGTGAGCCGGCCTGGGTGGTGGAATGTGGCATCCAGTCCGGCCGCATCTCTCCTTCCTGGCGACTCCACGCTCACAAATTGCCTGCGCATCTCCTCTGACATTCGTCCCCCTCGAGGGTCTGCTTCCCGTGTGCTGCCTGCATTCAGAGGGTACGTCTGTGCCTCATGCAGAAACTAACACCGCTCAAGCAAACATTTGCTGAAGGGACGCAAATTATAAAGACGCCATGGGGAAATGAACCGAGTCCAGGAGGCAGAAGAAAACACATCCAAGGACCCAGAGCAGAGTGAGCTCGTTTTCCTCTGAGCAGGTCTGAAGCCGTGACGGGGCGCACAGGCCGCATCCCTGAGCATGGCGGGCACGGGGGCGATGAGAGGGAGAAACCTTGCTGCCCACACAGGTGGAGAGGCTCAGCTGCAGCGTGAGGATCCTGGGGGGCTGCCGTCAGCCGTCTGCATGTTATTAACTAAGAAAAGGTCTTGGAAGATAAAGATTTTCAGACCCAACTGGAACAAACCAGCACACCTAGAGCTCTGCGTCCCTGCATCCTACGAGTCCCGTTGAGTCTGAGCAGAGCACAGAACACAGAACTGCGTCAATGACTGAGGCAGATTCACCCACACAGACCAGGTTCCTCCTACAAAGCGCCTTTTGCCAAACATAAGAGGACTGAGGTCCAGGTTCCTCCCGCAAAGCGCCTTTCGCCAAACATAAGAGGACTGAGGTCCAGGTTCCTCCCGCAAAGCGCCTTTCGCCAAACATAAGAGGACTGAGGTCACACAGCCTGTGTTCTCTGGGCTGAGTGGAATTACAGTAGATTCAGTAAGAGAAAGATAAGAGGAGAATCTCCAAATGTTTAGAAATTAAGCAATTGTGGATTAAGCAACACACTTCTAAATAACCCATATGTCAAAGGAGCCACAGTAGAAATCAGAAAATGTCTTGAGCTGAATGAGGAACACACAGCATATAAAAGCGTCCAGGATACAATGTCTTGAGCTGAATGAGGAACACACAGCATATGAAAAAGCCTCCAGGATATGCAAAACTAGCCACCAAAGGGAAATCCACAGCTTATTGAAAAAGTTCCACATTTAAAAAGGGGAAATGCTGAAACCAATGACCTATGCTTTCAGCTCAAGAAACTAGAAAAAGGACATCAAAATAAAGGCAAAGCAGAAGGAAGGAAATCATAGTAAAATGTATGAAAGAGAAGACAGATATAAATCAGAGAAAATCAACAAGACCAAAATCTGGTTCTGTGAGAAGATGAATAAAGTTGATAAACCTCCCAGCAATGTTGATCATTAAAAAAGAGAAAACAAAAATCATCGCCAGGAGGTACAAAAGGGAGACATCACTGCAGAGTCTTATGGACACAGGGGAGATTACAATCACATTATGTGCTTTACATCAATAAACATGAATTTTTGATGCAATGAACACATTTCTTGAAAAGTACAATTTATCAGAATTAAGACAAAAAGTCAAAAAATATGATTTATCAAAATGGACACAAAAAGAAAAGTCCAAACAGCCTAATATTTATTAATTAAATCCATCATTTAAAACCTTTCCACAAAGAAAGCTCCATGTCCATTTGGTTTCACTGTTGAATTATCCTATAAATTTCCGCCACACCCCTTGCTAGATTTTTTTTTCCTAGGTATTTCATATTTTTGATGCTGCATGAATAGTACTGTTAAATTAGCTTTCATTTTCTAAAAAGTGTGTTGTTCGTGCATAGAAACCCAGTTCACGGTGGCTTGTTGGCTTTGTAGCCAGCAGCCTTGCTGAGCTAACTCTTGCCGGTTCTGAGAGTGTGCGAGGAAGACCTCTGTGCTGCCTACAGGCGGGAGCTGTCTTGCATCCTGAAGATGGGGCTGAGGGTGGGGGCCGGTGGCCGAGGTTCCTGCCTCAGAGGAGCCTTCCTGAGTGCCAGCAC
The DNA here is from genome assembly GCF_000001405.40 of Homo sapiens. Lineage (NCBI taxonomy): Eukaryota > Metazoa > Chordata > Mammalia > Primates > Hominidae > Homo > Homo sapiens. The sequence goes on from NT_187550.1 coordinate 99,338, forward strand.
CTGCTCCAAAGATGAGGCTGAGGGTGGGGGCAGGTGGCAAACGTTCCTGCTTCAGAGGAGGCTTCCTGAGTGCCAGCACCTGCTCCTGCCGGCCTTACAGATGCTACCTATCAGCTTAAAGGAATCTGCTTCTATTCTACGTTTCCCAAGGGTTTCCCCTCCCGAAATGCGGGGGCCACAGGCGAGCGCCACCACTCGGCTACTGTTTTTTATTATGTTTTTTAGAGACAGGGTCTCACTATGTGGCCCAGGCTGGTCTCGAGCTCCCAGCCTCAAGTGATCCTTCTGCCTGGGCCTCCCAGAGCGCTGGGCTGGTCTCTGCACACGGTTGGATTCGGTTTTAGTGCTTCCAGTTGTGTTGGGCAACGGGGTGGGCGGGTTTGCCCGGGGCGGCGCGGTCCCTCCGGGTCTGTTGGTGCCCGGATCCCGGAGCCCCGGGCGGGGGGAGGCCACTGGCTTCGCGCGTGACCGCCAGGTCCGCAGCGCCTTTCGTGGCCGGAGACGGGGCGAGGCGACCGGAGGTCTCGGCCCAGGGGCGCGGGGGAGCGGGGCGCGGGGCGGGGCGGCGGCCGGGAGAGGGGCGTCCACGGGGGAGGTCGCCTGTCCGCGGACCGCTAAGACACCGCAGCAGAGGCGTCCGGGGCGGGCGGGGCGGGCGGGGCGGGAGGGACAGGAGCGAGAGGGTTCGTGCGCTCAGCGGGACGGAAGCGGTTGCGGATGCACATGCGGATGCGGAGAGAGGCCCATGGCGAGTTCGGCGGCGTGGCCGGCCGGGCTGTCCCCGAGGGCGGAAGGGAGGACGCGCGACCCCGACGGGCACTGACGGGCCGGCCGGGGACGGTGCTGGGAGGGCCTGCCGGGCCTTGCCAGGTCCCCCGCGCCATTGCCCTGGGGTGGACTGCGGGGCACAGAGACTCTCCTGCGGCGCCGTCCCCAGCCCTTCGCCCCTCCCGGCGCAGCCCCCGGCCCCTGAGCTCCCCACCCAACCCCGGGGCCCCTGAGCTCCCCACCCAACCCCGGGGCCCCTGAACTCCCCACCCAACCCACGGGGGGAGCTGCCGCTTCAGACACAGGCCCTGAGCTACCCCCGCAGGGGTGTCACAGTGGGGGGGTCTGACTCCAACCCGGGCTGGTGCCCTCAGGGAGCCAGGAAAGGTGAGTCTCCGCGGGTGAGGAGACCCCAGGCCCAACACGGACAGGACGGACCAGAGCGCGGGCCTCAAGTCCTGCAGGCCCTCCAGCTCCAGGCTGGTCAAGAGTCTGTCCATCTCTGAAGAAGAGGAAAGGTCCCACCTGAGGCCTCAGAGGCCACCCGGGAAGGGAAGGGCTGAGCTCTAATCTGCTTTTGAGAAAGACATTTGTATCCCCCGGATCCAACAACCAATAAGAGTGGCATTGACGGGAGGTGGCATGACGGGGGGGCGCGGTGGTCTCTTTCCTGGAAGGGCATCTCCCAGAGGGGCCTCTTGCCTGAAGCTGAGATGTGCCTGGCACACAGCAGGTGTGGACCAAGGGAAGGCCAGCAGGTGTGGCTCCCAGTGGAATAAAACCTTCCTTAAGAAGACCTGGCCCCTGACAACTTTGGGTTGAAAAATAAACTTAGAGTGGGCAGTGATGCCTGTCTCCTGCCTGGCTTCAAGCATTGGAAGTTACTTAAAAACTTAACTTTCTTCTCTTAAATATTGTTAACAACAGTATGAATGGATGCGCCTCTTCATCCACAAGACACTTTCACAAGCCGTATGTGGAATTCATGACAGGAAATTAATGTGACAGACTAGGTGTTTTCAGTTTTATTTTCTTAATCCTGAAGTTCAGATGCTGTGGCAGCTGGGTATAAGATTACAGTTGTTTTCCGACTGGCTTTTGCATTATTTCCACATTTTTGAATGTTTTACAGCCACGCCCCTTCCCCATACGTGCAGGGGGTCCCTGGACCACAAGGGGTCCAGGCCACGGTGGAAGGATCCAGAATGCTATGCGTGCCTGCCTGAGGCAGGAAGTGGTCGGGCAGTTATCAGATCGTCACCACCCACAGGACAGGAATGTTCTCAGGATACTTCCCAAGACCCCCTCACACACACACACAAGTCTCTGGGTCTTTTTGGCCATGAGGATGTGCAGGTTGTGCACTGTACAATTCCAAGGGGCACGGTTCATACAGTCTGCCTGATATGGATGGTGGCCCCTGCAGTGGTGGGGTGCCACGGCCCTGCCTAAAACCACGACCCAGTTAGAGGGAGGGTTTTGTGGCTCCAGTCCGAGGGTAGGGGAGTGGGTGTGCACACCCTGTATAATCCCCTAGACTGGCTTCTGCATGAGGCTGGCATCCTCAAGGCCATGCCCATCACAGGCTGGGGCAGCGCCCGTCTGCCCCGAGCCCTCCAGCAACCTTGGAGTGCAGACGCATTTCATCCTCCAAATGCTCACAGATTGAGATGCTGCCAAACAGCCACACTTCTCACCTGTGCAGGGACTCGTGGGCAGTGGGGTGTGCCCTGGCAGGACTCGTGGGCAGTGGGGTGTGCCTTGTTCTGGCCACGCCACTTCAGGGGCTCATTGCCTTTCTATTCTCCATGAGGCAGCCCTTCCTGCTGTGGGGGGCAGTGGAGGTGTGGGCAGCACACTACCTGATGGCCAGCGCCTGGCACTGGTGTCTGTTCTGGATTTGTCCTTCCAGGCAGTGACACTGCTCTTCTGCCCTTTGAACAGCTTTGTGGAGAAAGGTTGTCGGCTCTTAGGACAGGCTGGTTGGGGGGTGGGGTGGCCGGAGGTCCAGTGGGCATCATGGAACACACTGGTCTGGTGGAAATTTGGCCTTCCTGTGGAATGCAAGGGCAACATCTTCAGAGAGGACGTCGTTCCTAACGGCTCCACCCAGGAACCATAAGGAAAGAGCAGGGAAGCTCCGGACTGGAGGGAATCCTGTTCTTGTCCTGCTGGCTTTTTCTCTGGGACAAGAGGCTGGGAGTGGAGTGGGGGACAGAGACAGGTGGGGCAGGGACACAGGCCAAGAGCGACTCCGATGCTCCCACCTCGCAAGACCATACTAGTGGCCAGTCACACACTTCCACTCCCCCGGTGCCCTGTCCAGACCCTGCAGTGGCCCAGGCCAGGGCTGCCCTCCCTCCACGCCACTCAGCAGCCGAGTCACCAGGCGAGCACCATCTGAATGCACCTTCCCTGTGCTACACGGGCCACTTCCATTAGCATGAAACTGGGGCCCTTGCAGGGTGAAGTCATTGAACTCAGCACTGTCCTCCTCAGGCCTCCGCAGCCCCCACTCAGATGTCAGAAGACACATCCATCCTCCATCTGCACCCACCCCACCGCCCACCTGCCCTTTGTCCACCTATCTGTCCTTCCATCCATCTATCATCCATCCGCTCAGCCACTATCTTGCGAGTGCTATTGTGTGCCCAGCTATCTTCCAAGCTCCTGGGATGTATGCATGAGCCCCTTGCTCGTGGAGCAGACATTCCCAGGGTGAGGGCAGACAGCTCAAGGTCAAAGCCAGCAGCCCCCAGGGCTGGGAGGTGAGCTGATTCCCGGAGCCAACCGAGTAAGCAGGGGAGGCGGGAGCTTAGCTGCCACAGTTGTGAGCTGAGTGGGTATCGGGTGGGACCAGAAGGTGGCATTGGAGCCAAGCCCCTGGGGAGCTGAGGAAGGGAGCACACAAGAGCCGTCCAAACAGAGGGAGCAGGGCGTGCAAAGGCCCCGAGAGGCGCCGATTGCTGGTGTGGGCCGTGGAGTGCATGGGGGTGGGGGTCAGGCAGTGGCTGGGGTCTGAGCTCCCGGGAGACGTTGAGCCTTTCCTCTGAGAGGGAGGGTCCCAATAGGAGGGACTGAAGGGGCAGGTAGAGGGCCGAGCAGGAGCCTTTGCAGGTGGCTGCAGGCTCCCAGAAGCCGCTGGTTTTGTGCACATTTTGAAAGTAGAGCAGATATGCTAAGAGCTTGGAAACCTTGTGAGCGAAAGAAGTCCACCTGCGTCCCAGGTCTGGGGCTGGAAGGCTGCAGGGTGGGCTTGGAGGAAAACAGGGGTGTGGTTTGCACAGTGGAGCCTGAGATGCTTAAGAGAGCCAGTGCTGCCGGAGCGGGCTGTGGGCAGAGGCCCCGCATCCGTGTGAAGCCCTGGGGGTATCGAATTGTTTTGGGCGGAGGTCTAAAGGCAGGGGATGGGGCAGGGGAGACCACGGGGGCCCCTGGGCTCCCATCTCAGAGCCTGGGGTGGGGGATGCTGGCTGGCGATGGGAGGGGCAGAGAGACTTACCAGCGCACCACGCAAGGCCTGGGCGCCCCCGAGTTCTGGTAAGTGGCCGGTCCGGCTGTGGAATGCAGGTTCCTGCTGAAGACAATAGCGAGGGGCTGTGTGAAGACACACCTGGGGCCCCTGTGCACCCTTGGGCCGCCCTGTGGGGTCTGCGCAGCCCCAGGCCCTGCGTTTATGAAGGAGGGTTGGGGCGAGCGCACCCACAGCTGCCCGGGCATCCCAGGAGCTGCGCGGAACCGCCTGTCCCGCTGCCCCGCGCTGTGCTCCCCACGCCCCAGGAAGGCGGCCGCGCAGTCCCGGGCTCGCTCTTGCCGCGACCTCCCGGACCTCCAGGCCGCGGGCTCCGGGGGAGGGTGGGCACCAGGGAGCGCGGGGTGGGCGTGCGCGGGCGGGGCGGGCGTGCCGGGAGCTGCGGCGGTGTCTGCGCTCGCGAGTGCGCGGCGGGGGCGGGCAGGCTCCGCCCCGGGGCGGGAGGGGGCCGCGGGATTAAAGGCCACCCCGGCGGGCGGGGATCGGACTGTAGCCGGTACCGGCACCGGAGCGCGCCGGGTCCTCGCCGGGTCCCAGCCCCGCGCGTCGGCCCAGCCCAGCCGGGACCCCCCGCGACATGCGCGTCCCAGCCCTGCGCTGAGCAGGCGGCAATGTGGGGACTCGGGGCCCGGGGCCCCGACCGGGGGCTGCTGCTGGCGCTGGCGCTGGGCGGGCTGGCGCGGGCCGGGGGCGTCGAGGTGGAGCCCGGCGGCGCGCACGGCGAGAGCGGGGGCTTCCAGGTGGTCACCTTCGAGTGGGCCCACGTGCAGGATCCCTACGTCATCGCGCTCTGGATCCTCGTGGCCAGCTTGGCCAAGATCGGTAAGTGGCCCCGGGGTCTCCGGATCTGCCCGCGGGGTGTGCGGCCGCCTCTGCTGGGCCTGGGGGCTTCGTTGTGGCCGCGCGCATCAGGTCGGAGCCGCGCGGCGGCCGCCCGGGAGAGTCCGGCTCTCGGGTCCAGCAGAGCGAGACTCGGGAGCGACTCTGGCCGCGCTAAGCCGCCCCTGCGGGTCCCGAGGTCTCCCCTCCCCGGCGGGGGCACAGCCTCGGAGCCCCGGACTCCCGGCTCCCGGGTCCCTGTGGGGTCTCCGCCCCGCCTCCGCTCCGAGCCCCGCAGACTGCAGGCTGCTCGCGCCCAGGGAGTCCCCGGGGCCGGGTTTCCTTCGGGGTTCTCAGGCTTTTTAGAGAAACGTCCTTGGAGTGATGGCGTTTTTTCGTGAGTTACAAGGGCAGAAAAGAAAAGCGGTGCTACCCGCATGAAACCCAGCAGAATCCTCCCTACAGGCGCAGCGTTCCCATTGGCGGGCCTCCTTTTTTTTTTTTTTTTTTAGAAAATCCCGGTCGGTCAGATTTCTCTTCTTCTTAACCGGCGCCAATGAACCAGTAATGTGGGCACGGCAGGTAGCTCCTGGCAAGGTGACAGGAAGGTCAGCTTCCTGAGGAGCTCGTGGGGATCAAAGTTTCATGTGTTGGTCCACAGGGTAGGGTCTCTCCAGGGGTGGCAGGGAGGTGGTCACTCGTGTGGAGGGGGGATTAGGGGGCCCGAGTGGGGCCAGGAGAAGCAAGATCAGAGCAGCAGGCGCCGCGGCAGGTTTCCAGAGCAGCTTTGGACTGGGGCGAGAGGAGGTTTCGATGCTGGGGCCGAGGAGGGGCGCCCACGCAGGACAGGGGAGGGACAGGCTCCGGGGAGAACAGCTGAGAGGACCTTGGCCTTGGTGGAACCTGGTACGCCCAGCAGGCTTGATTGGAGAAGGCGCCTTTTCCTTCAGTGACGCCTGCCGCCTGCCCTATTTATGCCAGGGTCTCCCCTCCCCTTCAGGCCCCTTGTGTGTTTGCTTTCTGTCTCATAAGGGCTCTTCTGAGCCCTCCCGCCTCCTCCCTTCTCCGCAGCCTCCTCCTCGCCCTGGTGTCTTTCAGCTCCCCGCCGGGCTGCCTGCTCTCCAGGCTCAGGCTGTCCTCCCTGGGCTTTCCACTGGGGGCTTGGGATGCTGGCCGGGGGGGAGTCTCTGAGGCTGGCTGCCTCCTACAGTTGATTTCCTTGAGAAGGGCCCCTGGGGCATCAGGGAGGTCCAGACTCAACCTGGGCTCTGCGGCCGCCCAGTCCTAAAGCTCACCCTGCTTTCCTCTGACGGGAGTGCCCCCCTGGTGTAAACTGAAAAGGTAATTTCTTTTTTTTTCTTTTTTTTTTTTTTTTGAGATAGAATTTTGCTCTTGTTGCCCAGGCTGGAGTGCAATGACGCGATCTCGGCTCACTGCAACCTCCACATCCTGCCTCAGCCTCCCGAGTAGCTGGGATTACAGGCATGAGCCACCACGCCCAGCTAATTTGTATTTTTAGTACAGACAGGGTTTCTCCATGTTGGTCAGGCTGGTCTTGAACTCCAGACCTCAGGTGATCCACCCGCCTCGGCCTCCCAAAGTGCTGGGATGACAGGCGTGAGCCACCGCGCCCGGCCGTGAATATCTAATTTCTGTACAAGCTGGGGCCTCTCCCAGTTTAGCCCAGTGTACAGAGTCAGAATCTGGCATCTGAAGGTCCAATGACAGCCGCCAGGCACCAGCCAGCCCCGCCTGGGAGCCGGCAGATAAGGCACACTGACCAGGGCTTTGCCTGGCCTCAGAGTTTGTTATTCACAGGGAAAAGCCTTCAGGTCTCCCAAACACTTGGACTGGTTCTGGGAAGACGTCCTTGAGGGCGGGGAGGCTGCCGGCTCCAGCAGCAACTCCCCGGGGCAGGGCGGTCCTTTACAAAGGCCCACCCTGATAGCACTCAGCGGCTGTCTTTGTCTCGGATTGTTGGCTCCACCTGGGAAGGCGAGCCTTACCCTGTGCAGCTGTGGGAGCTCATCGCGGTATCCCACAGGCGCAGACCCTCTCCAGACCTGCCCTTTACGCTCCCTGTCGTCCCCTCAACCCACTGTGCACTCTGCAGCCCCGGCAGTGACAGCTGAGGTCTGCTCTGGGTCTGCCCGGATTGGCCCCCAGGGTGTCCCACCCTCCATCCCCTCTCTGCCAGCCACACCTCTTGAACACAGCCCCCAGCCCTCCCTGTGTGCTTCCTCCCCCAACCCCTTCCCTGTGAACTCTGGACTTCTCAGATTCCACTGGCCCAGACCGTCCTCCTTGTGCAGCCAGCCTCAGGTGCACGACCTGTGTTCCCAGAGGACCCTCAGGTCCAGGCCTTCACAGACACCGGGGCCCAAGCCTGCACCACAGCGGGAACTTCTCCAGTTTCACCCAGCCTCCTCCACATGCCCACAGCCCCCGGACTGGGGTCTGAACCTACTAAGCTGCTTGGCACATTTTGTTGTTTAAAATGGTCAGGGGTTGGCCACACTCTTTCAGTCTCAAGTTACACGAACAGAAATGTCTCTTCCAGCAGAAAAGAGCTGCCATTCCTGTTGCTTTTCCAAACATTTGTTGAATTTCTCACACATCCTGAGAGTTTCTAACTCACAGCCCCAGCCTTCTTCAAGCCATTTGTAACCTGGTTGGGGAAATAAGAGTCCGGGTACCCTGAAACCCACAGCAATGTTGATCCCAGGAGATTTCTACTCCAGGCAGCTTGGGACAGAGGATGGCCAGAGGGCCAGAGCTGCCTCAAGCAAACACTGGGGCTGGGGCCTCAGCAGGTGGCCCAGGAGCCTGGGCAAGGAACAGGTGCTGCTGTTGGCCCACCAGCCTCAGGCCGCGTGTCTGGCTCCGGCAAGGGCTCCCCACAAGCCCCCTATTTGTGTGCACTGGGGTTCCCCTGCCTTTTACAGCATCTTTTTAAAATGCAGAAGGGGAGGCAAGGGCCGAGGCCACGGAGCCACTCCACAGCGCAGACCTCCCAGACTGAGAGGACGAGGAAGTCTTTAGCAGTGGAGGCGGCAGGGCCTAGTGTCTGCCTCAGGCAGGGTGAGGGGGCTTCCTCCTGTGCCCCTTGGGGGCCCCCAGCCTGCAGCCACCCGCACCAGGGCCACTCTAGGCCTTAGGTGCCCACCAGAATCCCCGCCTCACCCTGCACCGTCCGTGTTGGGAACCCTGGGCCAGGCTTTCCTTCCTTCCTGGGCTTCCTCTGGGGGCTGAGGCTGTGCCTTGCAGAGACTGCCAGGCCTGGCAGCACTGGGTGGGGGCCCTGGGGTGGGATCCAGGCAGTGGCAGGTGTCAGGACTGCAAGCAATGGGCCCCTGGAAGGAGAGGGAGGCGGGGGTGTCAGAAGCCAGAGGAGGAGGCCTAGGGTGGGTCCCTGGGGAGGCAGAGGGAGGCCCGAGCAACTCAGCTACAGGCCTTGGAGGACTTTGGTCCCCACCTAGCGTCGTGGTGAGGAGTGGATGTGGTCAGATCTGAGTTCTCAGACGACTGCCTGGCCATGGGGCAGAGAATGGCACCGGGGAGATTCCGGGAGGATGGTGGGGAGCTTCCCTTGGGCATCAGGGCGGTGGACAGCAGGGCCTCCTTGAAGCAGGAGTGGGGATGTCACAGGGTCATCAGTGACACAGCAGGGGCCAGACCTCCTGGCCCCATCCTGTTCTCAACCCTTCGGGGGGCTCTGCTGCGCTGACCTCGCCCTGCAGCTCTGAGCCACACATGAGCGACAGGACCCGACCAAAAGGGAACTGGGGGAGTTACAATTTTGAGATGTCGGAAACCGGGGAGGGGCTGGGGCCGGGAGTGGATTCTAGGCCCAGCTGGGTCTATTTGTCCCCAGGCGTCTGGCCGTGGGTACCCCTTGGGTCGTGGACGCACAGGAGGTGTGGGAGCTGACATCCCATGGGGCCTGAACTCCAGAGCTGGGCAGCGCTGGCTCAGGGAGGTGGCGCCTTGAGGGTTAGGACCTGAGCAGCGGCAGTGACTGCCCACGGGGAAACCAGGACAGTGGGGCTGGGTGGGGGCGGTGGGGGCAGGCTCTCGAAGTGGAGCTTGTGTTGCTGAGGGATGTGATGGCGGAGGCCCAGGCCGCCCCACATCTTGGTGAACCCTGGCTGGAAGGGCAGGCAGGAGCGAGACGGGTATCTGGAGTCTGCAGTGCCTCGCGCAGCCGTAGGAGGGTCAGGAGGACGCTAGGGCACAGGGTCAGGAGTGCAGCCCCCTGCTCTGAGCGGCGCAGCCCCCCCACCCCCCTCTGAGCGGCGTTACCCCCACTGTGGGAGTGTGGGAATGCTTTTCTGCAGGAGCTTCAGCCTTGGGGTTCCAGCACCTCCTCCTTAACTGGACAGGGTCAAGACCCAGATCCCTGAGCGCCAGGTTCCCTGCTCCCGGCCCCAAATCTGAGGCACTGGGTGCTTCCTTGTTGTCTGGGTGGGTGCAGGAGGTCGTCCTCACCCGACACTTGACTCCCGGACCCCCGCTGTCTTACCCAGCGTGTCCCAGGGAGCCTCCGCCACTGGGGGTGTGACACTGCCTAGACCACCTGCCTAAGCTGTGGATTTCTCCCAGGTGCAGCCTTCCACCGGGCACTCAGTGCCCAGGCTGTGAGGGCAGCTGTGGGTCACCTTCACCTCCTGGGGTGAATGGTTTTATTGCATGTGCTCTGGTCCTGGAGGCAGGAATCCCTCAATGCGCACAGCACCTACCCCTTCACCATATCTGCTACCCACTCCAGCTGAACTGCCCTTAGGTTCTCCTTGAAGAAGCATAGGAAAGGAGGTTCTGGGGACAAGGATGGCCTAGAAGGCCAGGGTGGTCAGCAAAGTCCCCAGGGGACCCAGTCCTCCCAGGAGAGGACCAGTGAGTGGGCCCTGTGGACCCCAGTCCTGGCAGGAGAGGTATGCTCAGTGGGTTTGGAGTCAGGAGCCATCACGGGAGGCCTGGAAGCAAAGACTCTCCCAGGAGTCTCCACAGGGGAGGGTCTGGCCCTGAAGGGGTGAAGTTTCATTTTCCAGGAGCTGCCCACGGAGAATCAGCTGTAGGCTATAAAACAATCCATGGCGTTTGGAGCTAAGGTGTCGCCCGGGAGAATCCTGAGGAAAGGGGCAAAGGTTGGGAAGTGCTGATAGCATCGGGGCAGGGAAGGAACCACCAGGGCTCCCTGTGGGTACCTGGCAGCTCCGCCAGAGGCTGAGAGAGAGACAGGGATGGTGAGTCACTCTTGGCCGCCAGCCCCCCCAGCCCACTCCCTGCCACCCCAGGAGCTCCCCGCCTCTGGGCGTGTGTGGCGCTCCCTGTGACCACACAGGCTTGTTAAGATGCCTGTCTGGGCCCAAGCTCCAGCACCCAACCAGCCTCATGTCTACTGCAGAAATGGCTGAGCTCTCCCAGCGTGGCCACCCCCACTGCCGGCTTCTCCAGGAGCCAGGGGCTGCACTGGGGCATGTTTAGAGTTGGGGTTCCCATCCTGCACATCATCTGCCCAGCGTCTGGGCTGAGTCCCACAACCAGGAGTCTCAGTGCACGATGAAGCCACCAAGGCTTTCCTCACCCACCCTTGAGACAAGAGTCTCAGGATACCAGGTGTCAGGGTGCCAGGTGTTGGCGTGCCAGGTTTCTGGGTACCAGGTGTTGGGGTACCAGGTCTCAGGGTGCCAGGTCTCAGGATGCCAGATCTCCAAGTGCCAGGCCTCAGGGTGCCCGGTCGCGAAGTGCCATATCTCAGGGTGCTAGATCTCAGGGTATCAGGTCTCAGGGTGCCAGGTCTCAGGGTACCAGGTCCTGGGATGCCAGACTCCACCCTCCCCCAAATCATGCACTCACCCCAGCTTCATCCCTTCACACTCAGCATCTCTCCTGCTCCACCTTTCCTGAGCTCGGAGCCTTCCTCCTCTGAGCTCCTGAGGACACCTCCTCCTCCAAGGTCTTTTGGCTCAACCAGGTTGATGCCACAATGGCAGAGGTTGTCTGTCTTATTCCTCCTGTGTCCCCAGTGCCTGTCCCCAGCAGAGTCCTGCAGATCTGAGCACGTGAATGGACATGTGGATGGATGGATGGATGAGTGAATAGATAGATGGATGGATGCGTGGATTGATGAATGGATGAATGGATGAGTAAATGGATGGAAGGGTGGATGAGCGAATGGATGAATGGAGTGAATGGATGGATGGATGGATGATGGGTGGATGGATGGATAAGTGGATGGATGGATGGATGAGTGAATGGTCAGATGGGTGGATGAGTGGATGGATGGATGGATGGATGGATGGTTTGGATGGATGGATGGTTTCGGTGAATGGACGAGTGGATGGATGGGTGGATGGATGGATGGATGGGTGAATGGATGGATGGGTGGATGGCTGGATGGCTTGGGTGAATGGATGGATGGGTGGATGGATGGATGGATGGATAGATGGATGAATGAATGGATATATGAATGAGTGAATGGATAGATGGATGAGTGGATTGATAGATGGGTGAGTGAGTGGATGGATGGATAGGTGGATGGGTGAATGGATGGATGGGTGAATGGATGGATGAGTGGATTGATGGATGGATGAGTGAATGGATAGCTGGATGGATGAGTGGACTGATGGATGGATGAGTGGATGGATAGATGGCTTGGATGAATGGATGAGTGAATAGTTGGATGGGTGGATTGATGGATGGATGGATGAATGAATGGATATATGGATAAGTGAATGGATGGATGGATGAGTGGATTGATGGATGGGTGGGTGAGTGAACTCATGGATGGATGAGTGAATGAATGGATATATGGATGAGTGGATAGGTGGATGAGTGAATGGATGGATGAATGAGTGAGTGAGTGAATGGACAGATGGATGGATGGCTGATGCGTGAATGGTTGGTGGATGGATGAGTGGATTGATGGATGGATGAGTGAGTGGATGGGTGAATGGATGAGTAAATGGAGGGATGGGCGGAAGGATGGGTAGATATGTGGATGGATGGATGGATGGATGAGTGGATGGATGGATGCACCCACAGGTGGGTGAAGGAGGAATGAACGAATGAGTGGATGGACAAATGGATGGATGAATGCACACATGGGAGAGTGAAGGAGTGGAGGGATAAACATTGGCTTCCCATGTGTAAGCTTCATCCAAAACCATCTGGACACTGGGCCCAGGAAGAGGCTGTCTCAGCTCCTCGGCTGAATTATTTCCTTAAATTACTGCAGAGCCTCCAGTGAGCAGCACACCTACTTCTGGATGACAATGGCTTTAGAGGCGCCGCCTGCCAAGGAGTGGCAGACTTAACCTGCAAAGTGGGATCATTGACAAGCAATTGCAGCATCGGCTCAGAGCACTTTGGCAGATCTGGGCTCAGCATGGTGAGCACCATCTGCCCCACACAGAGCTCTCTCAGGAGTGGGTCATGTGCCCAGAGAGAAACCACGCTCACCTGGCCTAAAACATGCTCCACTGTCAGCTGAAATCTTAGCTATGCCTTAGCTATATGCCTTCTGGAATAAGACAGACAAACCCAGCCCCATCCTGATGTTGCCAGACCTCGGAAGATGCAGACACACCCTGGGCAGGCCCTGACTTGGTGCTGGAACTGCCCAACCTGGCACCCTCCTGGGACACAGAATAGAACTCGGGTCACAGGCAGCCAATACCCTTAGCATACCAACCACTTTTAGGAGCTTGAATGGTCTCATCCGTCTTATCGAGGTAGCCCAAAATGCTGGACTTTGCAGCAGCCAGCGCTCTGGGCAATGGAGGAGCTCTCTCCAGTTTAATATTCATTCAATAAACATTCAGTGCCCATCACGCCCTGTAGGCAGTGGGGATCCCACTTCAAATGAGACCCAAATATCCCATGGGGCAGCACTCCTGGGCACCAAGGACCAAAGACAGTCAGGAAGCCATCCCTGGGGCAGAGGGGGCAGCCAGCCCTGTGGGTTAGGGGGAAGCATGTCCAGGGAAGGGATAGCCAGAGCGAAGTGCCCGAGGCAAAAAGTGTGGATGAGGGTTAGGGGGAGAGTGTGTGTGTGTGTGAGGGGCAGGGGGAGTGTGTGTGTGTGAGGGGGCAGGGGGAGTGTGTGTGTGTGAGGGGCAGGGGGAGTGTGTGTGTGTGAGGGGCAGGGGGAGTGTGTGTGTGTGTGTGAGGGGCAGGGGGAGTGTGTGTGTGTGAGGGGCAGGGGGAGAGTGTGTGTGTGTGAGGGGCAGGGGGAGAGTGTGTGTGTGTGAGGGGCAGGGGGAGTGTGTGTGTGTGAGGGGCAGGGGGAGTGTGTGTGTGTGTGAGGGGCAGGGGGAGTGTGTGTGTGTGAGGGGCAGGGGGAGTGTGTGTGTGTGTGAGGGGCAGGGGGAGTGTGTGGGTGTGTGAGTGGCAGGGGTTGTGCATGGGTTTGTGAGTGGCAGGCGGTAATGTGTGGGTGTTTCAGGAGCAGCGGGATGTGTGTGTGTGTCTGAGGAGCAGGGGACCCTGTGGAGGATAAGCAGGAGCAGCAGGTGGTCCTTGCACTCTGGCCGTGTGATGACCATGTTCAGCTCTGGGTTGCTCCCTCACATTGGCGAGTGCCCTTACAAGCCTGAGCTCTGGGCTCCCTGTTCTATCCGACTGCCAGCCTTCCCTTGGGGCTGGCTGTGTGTCAAGTCCATTTCCAAAGTGTCGTGTCGTCAGTCTAGGAAGAATTGAGATGGAGCCTGGGGCCGTGTCCAGGTGGAGTCAGGAGAGCAGCCAGGGTGCCCAAGGGGTTCCCGTGTGTGCACCGTCCACAGGGGCCTGAAAGGAAGGAGGGAGGGGCGGGCAGAGCAGGAGGGGCTGTGGGAATTCCACAAATGGGGAGCGGCACATCCTGGGAATGGGCCTGGCCGTTTGTGCTGCTGTGCTGGGGGTGGTTAGGGCTGTGACAGAGACTCCAGGCTGATGGCATGGACTCTGGGGTGGGAGACCGAGAAATCTCCCCATGGACTCTGGGGTGAGGAGTGGGGGGCCGAGAAATCTCCCCATGTCTCCCCATGGAAGGCTCTGCCTTAGGGAAAGACCAGGTGACCTGTGCCAAGCTCCTGGTCCCTGGAGGGCGGCCTTTGAGTGCATCCCCGAGGGCTTTGTGCTGGACCATCCCAGCCGGGACCCCCTATCTGGCTCTGGGAGCCAGCCCTGGGGAGGGACAGAGCCAGGGTCCCCTTCTGGACTGTGCAGGGCTAGGGCAGAGGGAAGGAGCGGGAGCCAGGGACGCACTGGCAGCTTCCTCCTTTCTGGTGGATCGGGGAACCTGCAGGCTCACCGCCTGCTGAGCTGTCATGCCAAAGTCCAAGGGTTTGAGTTCTTTGTTGGGAAAGGGTTTCTTTAAGCCTGAATGGGAAAGTTGAAAATGCCTGTTTTTAAGAGCTTTGGGGGTGACACAAAGTGTGGAAGAACAGCAGCTACTGCGGGCTCCGTCCTCAGATTCAGCCCCAGATGTTTGGTGCAGAGGACACGGGGCTGACCAGACGGTGAAGGCAGATTCCCCTTAGAACCCGGCCCTCATGGGGCCCTCAGCGGGCCGTACCACTCCTTCCCCACCTACTGGATGTGGGAGCCACTGGGCAGGACTGCCTGAGGGGCCACAGTGAGCAAAGCCCCCGACAGGCAAGACCCGATGGGCCTCGGGGGGCAGGGTGGGCCCCAGGAAGGGGGAGCCAGCGGCCACTGGTCTTGGGTGACTCTGCAGAGGTGAGGAGGGAGGGCACAGGCCGGAGGCTGGGCCTCAGAGCCCCCTGAGGGACAGAGCCCCTGGAGGGACAGCCCTGGCGGCACAGAGCCTGGGAGACCTCAGGTCAGGGAGGAAGAGGGAGTGTGTGAAGCGTCTTGGAACCGGGACTGCCTGAGCACGCCTCCCCGAGGGCTCGCCCATGTGAGCGCCACTTCCAGGTTTCTGTCTTTAATCCTGGTTTTCTCAAGATCTGAAGGTTCATTTTAGGATTAGTTAGAGCCAACTGTGATTAGGGAAGTAATCTCTTCCCAGAAAGCAGGGTGCCCTCCCGAGCCGGGGCTGGGGCCTTGCCAGGCACCATTGTCTCTGCTTCTCTGGATTTTGCCCACCGCCCACACCCAGCACACAGTGGGGGAATCTCTTCAGGCGGAACTGGCTCGGGTTGGCTGAGTGCTGCTCCCAGGAGAAGCTCCAGTGGCTGTGCGTGGCCCGCCTGCCTTCAGAGGGAGAGGAGCCCTGGGGCGCAGCCCTGTCGCCAGAGGTGCTGACAAATGGGAGAGCTGCGTTCGACCTAAATCCGCAACACAAGGGCTGGCCGTGGGAAGTTAAAGCTTCCTGAGAAGGAGCTGTCAGGAACTACTTCCTCATTCTTACTGTGTACCATCACAGGGGGAGAAGGCGAGGGTGGCCCGGGGCTGCTGTCTGCCCACCAGAGCTGTCCCTGGGCCCCTGAGGAGCACGTGTGTCCCATGGAGGTGGCATGTGTGTGCTGTGAAGTCAGACGTGGCCGTCTCAGCATCCACTGTGTCTCAGGGACCCCGTGGCCAGGACCCACCCAACTGTCCATGGGGCTGACGCGTTCTCTGCCCTGCACACCCCAGTGGCACAGA
This sequence comes from Homo sapiens, assembly GCF_000001405.40. Lineage (NCBI taxonomy): Eukaryota > Metazoa > Chordata > Mammalia > Primates > Hominidae > Homo > Homo sapiens. The sequence continues at coordinate 115,047 of NT_187550.1, forward strand.
CCCTGGGTATCACTCGTGCACCTGGCGCTCTCCTCCCGCCCAACTCTGCATCCGCAGAGGGGCCACGTGCTTTTAGGGGGCACTTGAGCTCTGTTAGAGCAGGGGGTGGGGGCTCCCATGTGTGAAGGCCCATCTAGCACCTGCGTCCCGGCACAGCGGCTGTGCCATTTGCCAGCCTTCCTCCCGGCCTTTCTCCTTCCCAAAAAGCATCAACAAAATGAAGCTCCCAGATACTGCCCATGGTAAATGTTGCCAATCCAAAACTCCAAAGGGGATGCCACATCCCGGCTGTAACCAGTGCCACTATCATGTTCCAAAAGCACCCCTGGCTTTGTGGTCTGCTGGAGTCTGCAGCAGCTGGCATCTCAGTGGTCCCAGCCCACACCACGCAGCTCACAGTAGGTGCACGCCCCCCTCCCTCACCCTCCTGGTGCCCAGGTTCCTAAGTCTCAGTATCGCTGCAGGAGGCAATTCTCCAGCCCCAGTTTCTGCTGTCTCGGGTTTTGCTGCAGTGGAAACCTCTGTAACCGCCTTTCCCCCTCTTATCTTCCAGTGAAAAGTGGGACTGGTATTTGCTCTGATCTTGGTGACGCCGGACAGTAGTGTCAGCACCGTGGAGTCAGAATTGATAGGTGGGTCAGGATGAGACTGGCTGCTGGGCCTCTGCACGCCCAGCCCTTCCTCCAGGGGTGCCGCAGCCTGGGCTCCGCCAGGACTCAGCCTGCCCACCGTGCACGTTCTCTGCCTGGAATGCTGTCCTGGTCCCCTCAGCCTGGCCTTCTCCAGCTCACCCCAAAAGGAGTGCCCCCCCAACAGCTTCGGGGACACCCTTTCTTAGAAAACGAATAGACTTAAATTTCTTAGTAAAGTTGTAGATTTACAGAATATTGAGCTGATAGTATCAAGTTCCCTCCAGCCACACCCCAGCCGTTCCACCCCCCACTCCCCCTATTAACAGGTGGCATTGGTGTGATACATTTGTCATAGTTTAGCCACTCTTGATACATTATTATTAATTAAGGTCCACAGTTTATATTAGGGCTCATTCTTGATACATTATTATTAATTAAGGTCCACAGTTTATATTAGGGCTCATTCTTGATACATTATTATTAATTAAGGTCCACGGTTTACGTTAGGGCTCGTTCTTGATACATTATTATTAATTAAGGTCCACAGTTTATATTAGGGCTCATTCTTGATACATTATTAATTAAGGTCCACGGTTTACGTTAGGGCTCGTTCTTGGTACATTATTATTAATTAAGGTCCACAGTTTACATTAGGTCTCATTCTTGGTGTTACACTTCTGTGAGTTTGGACATGGGTACAACGACATGGATCCAGCATTACAGTCTCATCCAGAGGAGCTTCACTGCCCTAAAAATCTTCTGTGCTCTGCCTGTTCATCCCTCTCTCCCCCTAACCCGTGGCAACCACTGATCTTTCTACTGTCTCCATAGTTGTGCCTTTTCCAGAATGTCGTGTAGTTAGAAACCTATAGCGTGCAGCCTTCTCAAAGCGGCTTCTTTCACTTAGTCATTGCATCTGTGTTTCCTCCGTGTCTATTCATGGCTTGACAGCTCATTTCTTTTTAGCACTGAATGATATTCCACTGTCTGGATCTATCCATCTACTGAAGGACATCTCAGCTGCTTCCAGGTGATTTTGGTGATTATGAATAAAGCTGCTATAAACCTCCATGTGCAGGCTTTTGTGTAGACGGAGGATTTCAACTCCTGCGGGCCTGACCGTTGAGTTTTCTGGTCATGGCCTGCTTAGGTTTGTAGGAAACTGCCACGCTGTCTTCCAAGTGGCCGCGCCACCCTGTGCCTCCAGCAGTGCTGGGTGCACACTCCTGTGGCCACATCCTCGCCAGCCTTCGGTGCTATCCGTGTCCTGGGTTTCGGCCACGCTGACGGGTACGTGGTGGTGTCTCCGTGTGTTTTAATTTGCAGCTCCGCCATGACATGGGCTGTCGTGCATATTTCAGGGGCTTACTTGCCATCTGCCTGTCTTTGGTGTGGGGTCTGCCCAGATGTTTGGCTCATTTCTCACTGGGTTGTTTATTTTTCCTATGAGTTTTTAGAGTCCTTTGTATGTTTGAATGATAAACTCTTTAGGAGATATGTGTTTTGCAAATGTCTTCTTTTGCAGAGAAAAAGTTTTTAATTTTAATAAAGTCCAACTTACCAATTTTTTCTTTTATAGCTCATGCTTTTGGTGTTGATCTAAAAATTCATCACCAAACCCAAGGTTATGTAGCTTTTCTTCCATGCTATCTTCTAGAAATTTTATAGTTCTGTCTTTTACATTTAGGTCTTTTGTCCACTTAAATGCCGGCCTTGCCATCCGAGAACAGTGAGACACTCTTGCCCCTGCCCAGCAAGGCCAGTGGGACCAAAGTGCTCTCCTTGCGGCTCACAGTTTTGCTGGTGTGTGTTCGATATTTTGGGATCTCACATGTGGATGGGCAGGTATCTGAGCCCTTATTATGAGGCTGGAGGGAGTCGTGATGGGAGGTTACAAGAATGCAGGGTGGGACCTGCAGAGACAGGAAGAAGGGCTGTGGCCAGGGGAGACACAGGAAGACCTGGTGGGGCAGCAGGTGTCCAGGCACAGCTATGAGACAGTGGGAGCCACAGGAGGTCTTGGAGCACAGCAGTGCCTAGAGAAAGCTGCGTGTGCTGCTGGTGCATCTTCCCGCCCACCCCTGCACCCAGCAGCCCTGGCCTTTCCCACAGCTCCTCCACCTCCATTTCCCTCGCCTTCCCCCCGCAGGATTCCCCAGGCAGCTGACCCCATCGACTCACAGGAGATGGCATCCACGGCCGCCTGCCTGGGCCTTTCCGGGCTGAGTCTGTTCCAGCCTGTGGGTAGCGGGCCCTCAGCAAATGCCTGAAAATGCACTGGGCATGTTTGCCTGCCAGGCAGAGAGCTCATGCATCCATGGGCCTCATCTTTTCCTCTGTTAGCTTTGTCAGATGAAAAATCAAGTAGTTCTAGGGTTCACTCGAGAAAACAGCAGCCCCTGCCCACCTTGTCCCCTGGGCCCCGCTCCCCAGTGGTCACCACAGTAAAGCCCAGTGAGGTCTCCACCCCTGGGCTCAGAGAGAGCCTGACTGTGCTGGCCCCTGTCTCCAGGCCGGGACCAAGCGTGCTGCCGGCGGCTCTCGAGGGTGTGTCCCACGGGTTCTGGCCTTTCCACCAGTGCTTCCGTCCCACACGAACACCTTAGAGCTCCGTGGCAGCGTACGGCCACGTTTCCTTTCCCACACAGCATCTGGCTTTGCCTGGAGGGAACGATGGTCTCTGTCGCTGCTCTTGGCAGCCTCTCTGAGCTCACAGTAAGTGGCTCTGCTCCCAGCTCCCAACAAGCTGCCGCGCTCCGCCAGGGGCCCAAGCACCCACGGATCCTCCTGCTTCCAATGCCCCCAGGCCTCCAGCGGCTCCCCGGTCCAGCCCAGCACCTGTCTCCCCAACACATTCTCCTCCACATCGTTGGAGCCCCTCTTCTCCCGAAGCCTCCCCCATCCTTGCTCAGGCCCTGGGAAGCCAGCTGAGTGTGGGGCAGTGGAGCGCTGACTGCAGGAGGGACAACGCCGGCTGCCCGCAGGGCCCCTCTGAGATGCCTTTGCCTTGCTTGATTCGCGCCGCGGGAACTGGTTTCCCTTCCAAATCATCAGGCCCTGTGCCAGCTTCTTCTGGCATCCATGCGAGACACGGAGGCCTTCCTCATTCCTGGTTCTTTGCAGGAGGCCTCCTCCCCCTCCCCGCACCCCATTCTCCTCTCACTCCCTGACATGCTTTGGGGTACAGCTAACTTCACCTGCTGTGCCAGGTCCCTGGCAGTTCACTGAGTCTGGAACCGCAAGCTTGGTTTTGGGAATGGCTGTGGTGATGCCTGTCCGCGGTTCTCCATCTTCTGCCCACGCCTGAGTTCCAGGGTTCCACGTTCGGCCCACATGGGACCAGCCTACTCTGCCCTCAAACCCTTCCTTCCTCCCTCCCTCCCTCCCTTCCTTCCTTCTTTCCCTCCCTCCCTCCCTCCTTCCCTCCCTCCCTCCTTCCTTCCTTCCATCTCACTCTCTCGCCCAGGCTGCAGTGCAGTGGCATGAGCTCAGCTCACTGCAGCCTCCACCTCTTGGCTTCAAGCGATTCTTATGCCTCAGCCTTCTGAGTAGCTGGGATTACAGGCATGCGCCACGGTACCCAGCTAATTTTTGTAATTTACTTTAGTAGAGACAGAGTTTCACCATGCTGCCCAGGCTGGTCTTTAACTCCTGGCCTCAAGTGATCCGCTCCACCATTAGCCTCCCAAAGTGGTGGGATCACAGGTGTGGCCACTGTGCCTGGCCCTACATTTTCTTTATGTGTCTTTTTTTCTCTATCTTCTGAGATAATTTTTTTTTTTTTTGAGACAGGATCTGGCTCTATCACCCAGGCTGGAATGCAGTGGTGCGATCTCAGCTCACAGCAGCCTCCACCTCCCAGGCTCAAGTGATCCTACTGCCTCAGCCTCCCAAGTAGCTGGGACCACAGGCAAAGCACCACCATGCCTGGCTAGTTTTTGTATTTTGTAGAGACGGGGTCTCACTATGATGCCCAGGCTGGTCTGGAACTCCTGGGCTCAAGCGATTCTCCTGCGTTAGCCTCCCAAAGTGCTGGGATCACAGGTGTGAGCCACCACCTGTGGCCTGAGAGAAATTCTTAACCTCCTCTTTCAATCCTCTGTTGAGTTTTAAACTTTAGTTCTCATGTGTGACTCCCGGGAGGTCTTCCTCTCTAATGTCCTTGTCCTTTACGGCGTGGGGGCGATGGTGATGCTGAGGCCTGCGTCTCCCTGCGGCATCTCCATCCCGGGCGCGCTATGGGCTGTGTCTCCCCGCGGCATCTCCATCCCAGGCGCGCTATGGGCTGCGTCTCCCTGCGGCATCTCCATCCCCGGGCGCGCTGAGGCCTGAGTTTCCCTGCGGCATCTCCATCCCGGGCACACTATGGGCTGTGTCTCCCTGCGGCATCTCCATCCCGGGCACACTATGGGCTGTGTCTCCCTGCGGCATCTCCATCCCAGGCGCGCTATGGGCTGCGTCTCCCTGCGGCATCTCCATCCCCGGGCGCGCTGAGGCCTGAGTTTCCCTGCGGCATCTCCATCCCCGGGCGCGCTGAGGCCTGCGTCTCCCTGCGGCATCTCTATCCCCGGCAGACTGTGGGCTGCGTCTCCCTGCGGCATCTCCATCCCGGGCACACTATGGGCTGCGTCTCTCTGCGGCATCTCCATCCCTGGCGCGCTGAGGACTGCGTCTGCCTGCGGCTACTCCATCCTGAGGCCTGCGTCTCCCTGCGGCATCTCCATCCCGGGCGCGCTCTGGGCTGCTTGTGATTCCATAGCTGGGCTCCGCGCCTGAGCACTGGTCACCCCTTCCCCTGGCTCCACTGGTGTGAGGGGCGGGCGCCAAGAAGCCGAATGGGAACTGGAGCCACATGGGTGTGGGTGGGCATTTGGGTGTAGCGGGGAGATTCAGGCGTCTGTGGGGTGGAGATTCGGGCGTCTGTGGGGTGGGGATTCGGGCGTCTGTGGGGTGGAGATTCGGGCGTCTGTGGGGTGGGGATTCGGGCGTCTGTGGGGTGAGGATTCGGGCGTCTGTGGGGTGGAGATTCGGGCGTCTGTGGGGTGGGGATTTGGGCGTCTGTGGGGTGAGGATTCGGGCGTCTGTGGGGTGGGGATTCGGGCGTCTGTGGGGTGGGGATTCGGGCGTCTGTGGGGTGGGGATTCGGGCGTCTGTGGGGTGGGGATTCGGGCGTCTGCGGGGTGGAGATTCGGGCGTCTGCGGGGTGGGGATTCGGGCGTCTGTGGGGATTCGGGTGTCGACTGTGGGGTGGGGATTCGGGCGTCTGTGGGGCAGGGATTGGGGTGTTGGGGGTTGAGGATGGGGTGCCAGTGTCTTTGGATCCCCCCAGAATGGGCGCGGTGGCTCACACCTGTAATCCCAGCACTTTGGGAAGCCGCGGCTGGAGGATCACATGAGCCCAAGAGTTTTAGACCAGCATGGGCAACATGGTGAAAAAAATCTCTACAAAAAATAGTAAAATTAGCCAGGCCTGGTGGTGCTCGCCTGGGCAACAGAGCTAGACACTATTTAAGAAAAAAAAAACGGTGAAACCCCGTCTCTACTAAAAATACAAAAAATTAGCTGGGCGTGGTGGCGGGCGCCTGTAGTCCCAGCTACTCGGGAGGCTGAGGCAGGAGAATGGCGTGAACCCGGGAGCGGAGCTTGCAGTGAGCCCAGATCGCGCCACCGCACTCCAGCCTGGGCAACAGAGCCAGACTCCGTCTCAAAAAAAAAAAAAAAAAAAAGAAGCAGCAGCCGGATCCCTCCTTCTTACCTGACCCAATAACTTTATTTATTTATTTATTTATTTATTTATTTATTTATTTATTTATTTTTTGAGACAGTATCACTCTGTCTCCCAGGCTGGAGTGCAGTGGCCCAATCTCGATCTCGGCTCACCACAATCTCCACCTCCCGGGTTCAAGCGATTCTCCTGCCTCAGCCTCCCGAGTAGCTGGGACTACAGGTGTCTGCCACCACTCCTGGCTAATTTTTGTATTTTGTATTTTTTTTTTGTTTTGTTTCTCCATATTGGCCAGGCTGGTCTCGATCTCATGACCTTGTGATCCACCCACCTTGGCCTCCCAAAGTGCTGAGATTACAGGCGTGAGCCACCGCGCCCGGCCCCCAATAACTTTAAAACAAGGATAATAAATAACACGTTTTATCCTTCGTTTTCCTTGGGTTTGAGAACAAAGTCAACCCACTCTCTCTGAAGGAGTCTGATTTTCAGTCTTTACAACTGCCCAGAAAAGTCGAGATTATCATAGGAAACCAGCTCTGCACGGGTTAAAACAGCCTGCTGGGAAGTGGCCAGACAGGTCCCTGGGAGCAGCGCCCAGAAGGTGGGGAACCTGTGGGGTCTGGCTCTGGTTTGCTGCTGTCCCAGCTCTGGAGTGGTGCCCCGCTTGGCAGGGTGGCCCCACAGGACAGGGAGCAGCATGGGGCCCCTCGGGAGGACCCCGGGCCCTCCTGCATTTGGGGCAAATGATGGAGACACGGGGCACACCTCGCGTGAGAATGCGCCCTGTGCGGGCTGCCCTGGCCCTGCCGCGCACCCCAGCACCCTCTCCGCAGCCCGGGTTCCGCGCGTCTCCAGCCCCCGTCTCGGGCCCCTTTCGTGTGTCTTTCCACCTTTGTCCTCTCTGGGTGGCATCAATATCAAGAATCAATCCTCCCAACCGCTTCCGGCTGCTGCGTCCGGGCAAAGCTCGTGACAAAGTCCTGGCTTCGCGGGCAGGACCCAGAGCTCCTTGATAGTGGCGGCTGTGGCCACGTGAGCAGGCACAGGTGCAGTTAACAGGCTTGGGAAGCTGCCCTCACCGTCTACCTGCACAAAAGAATTCCCGGAGAGCACAGCCTCACTGGAGATCCTCTCCTGAGGGATAAAGGTCAGCGAGACCTGAAGTTGCTCCCCTGCAGGGCATTTGCAAACTCCTCAAAGCCTTTCAGAGGCTCCACCTGCACCCCAACCCTAACCCCACCCCAAAGTGAGGGGGCCTCATGCCTTTGCCTCAGTGGTTCACATTAATTTCATCTCCGTGGTAGTCACTCCCCTCCCAACATGGCCACTTTCCCCACCCCCACAATGGTCACTCTCCCCCCACATGGTCACTCCCCACCCACCCCCCACAGCCACTCTCCCCACCTTGGTCACTCCCCACCCCCCCACAGTCACTCTCCCCTCTCCGTGGTCACTCTCCACCCCACCCCCCAGTCACTCTCCCCCCGTGGTCACTCCCCACCCCCCCACAGTCACTCTCCCCTCTGTGGTCACTCTCCACCCCCCACAGTCACTCTCCCCCTTCCATGGTCACTCCCCACCCCCCCACAGTCACTCTCACCTCCGTGGTCACTCCCCACCCCACCCCCCCAGTCACTCTCCCCCCGTGGTCACTCCCCACCCCCCCACAGTCACTCTCCCCTCTGTGGTCACTCTCCACCCCCCAACAGTCACTCTCCCCCTTCCATGGTCACTCCCCACCCTCCTACAGTCACTCTTCACCCCGCGGTCACTCCCCACCCCCCAACAGTCACTCTCCCCCTTCCATGGTCACTCCCCACCCCCCTACAGTCACTCTCCCCTCTCCGTGGTCACTCCCCACCCTCCTACAGTCACTCTTCACCCCGTGGTCACTCCCCACCCCCCCACAGTCACTCTCCCCCCCCCATGGTCACTCTCCCCCACCCCCCTCGATGGTCACCCCCCAGCACACATCCAGATGCTCCTCCCACAGCAGCCTCCCTCCCTTAAGAGCCTCTGAAGCTAAAAATGGAGGAGGATGCTGTTTCTCATTTGTCCAGGTCTCCAGCCACCCGGGATTCCATCCCCTCATTCTGTTAAAGGGGTCACTGCGTCCACGCTGTTCTGAGGCCTTTTCCCATTTGCACAGGGAAAGCAGGGGAGGGGTGGCAGCTGCTGGCCCCTGCTTCTCAGCACTGGGCTCTGTGTGGCGCCCACGTGGCCACTGTGCCCTGCAGGCGTCTGCTGCTCTTCCAGGCACAGGCGTCCGGGTCTGGGAGCCACTTTGCTAGCCGAGGTGTGAGCCCCCGCTGTATGCCACTCAACCAGCCGCACCCCTGCCCTCCCCTTCTGAGCCTCTGGCCCGGCCCCCATGAAGGGGCCATGTCGGTGGCCGGCCAGGAGCTGGGCACGAACACCCCTTCCCCTTCAGCCCCCACGTTTAGAGACAGTGGCCTCACAGCGCTGAGGGGTGCAGGTCCCGGTGCCCATGGCCCCAGAGGGAGGCACTGCCCAGCAGCTGAGGGTTTGTCTGCTGTCCCCACCCCGAGCCCTCTGGGCTCACCCGGGGGTGACAGGAGGAGGCAGCGGGGCCGTGAGCCCGGGGAGCCTGAGATCTGGCCGCTTGCTGTGTGGTCTGAAGGTCCCGGCACCCTCCCTGGCTGCCGCCGCCGGACACACTGGAGGAGGCTGTGGAGTTCTCTCCCGAGGGCCAAATCCAACGGCCCCTGCAGCGGCTCAAGGTTCAGCCAGTCCTGGACCCTGCATGTCCACCGCCCTGGGCCCTGGCTGCAGCCCCGGGGGGCTATTTCCTCACTTTACAGAGGGGAGCCTGAAGCAAGGAGGGCAGGTCACACCTCCTGGGTGGGTCACGGGACGCGGGGGCTGCAAGAACACGGGGAGACGTGTGCCCCTTGGGTTCCCGGGGGTTCCGGAGCTGGCGGCAGCCCCACAGCGATGCCTTCCGGCACCTTCCCTCCCCAGGCGCCTCATATAGGACGCTGTCTCCTTGCTGGAAGCTTCTGCAGAAGCTTGTTCCCTTCCCTTGTTTAGTTGTTGATAAACCAAAGGCAAAAACACGGGGAATGCTAAACTTCCGTGATTGATGAAGACGGTTTCATAATTTCTACTTTGAAGTGAATGATTTTATAAGGGCAAGAGAGAAGAGAGGGTGAAGTGTGAGGAAGGTGGGGGTGGGTGGGACCCTGAGAATCCAGGCACCGGGTGAAGATGGGAACCCCCCAAGAGCTCTGGGGGCCCAGTCTTCTGTCCAGAGGCCCCAGCCTCGCGCAGACGATTCGCCGATTCAGGAGAAACCACAGCCGTGGATGAGATTTCCAGCAGACACGCCTTCCTTGCCCATTTCATGGAACAAGAAGAAAGTTCTTTATTGGTAACTCACACACATTATACAGATGGAAAGATTCTCCATTTGTTTTTGATTTTCAGCAGTCTGACTGTGCCGTGCCCACAGGCAGGATTTTCCCTGTACTTGCATTGCTTGGAGCTTGCAAAATTTCTCAAATCTATAAATGTGTGTCTTTCACCAAACTGGGGACATTTTTTACCATTCGCTCTTCAAGGTTTCCCCGCCCCATTCTCCCTTCCTTCCAGAGCTCCAGCTACACATATATCAGGCCTTTTTCTGGGCAAGGATGGGGGCCTCGCTCACTGTCACCCAGACTGGGGTGCAGCCTCAACCCGCCCAGGCTCAATGGACCCTCTGGCCTCAGCCCCCTGAGTAGCTGGGACTATGGGCACAAACCACCAGGCTCAGCTAATGTTTTAATTTATTTTGTCGAGAAGGGGTTTTGCTGTGTTGCCCAGGCTGGTCTTGAACTCCTGGGTTCAAGCGATCCTCCTGCCTTGGCCTCCCAAAGTGCTGCGGCTACAAGCTATTGATTTTGCCCCACAGGCCACTGAGGCTCTGGTTACTTTAAAAACCATTTTTTCTCCTTGGTCTTCCGATGGGATGATTTCTTCTGATCTGTCTTCCAGTTCACTCTCTTTACTGTCATTTCTGTCTGCTCGTAAGTCTATCCATTGAGTTTTTATGTCAGAGATTCTAGGGTTTCTGCTTGGTTCTCTTTGATAAGTTCTATTTTAGGCATCAGCAAACTACAGCCCGTGGGCCGGCCACTGGTTGTTGTAAATAAAGTTTCACTGGAACGCCCATCTGTGTCGTTACAGCGGCTTTCGGCCTCAGTGGTAGTGAGTGGTAAAGTTTCACTGGAACACAGCGCCCATCTGTGTCGTTACGGCGGCTTTCGGCCTCACTGGTAGTGAGTGGTAAAGTTTCACTGGAACACAGCGCCCATCTGTGTCATTACGGCGGCTTTCGGCGCCCGTCTGTGTCGTTACAGCGGCTTTCGGCCTCACTGGTAGTGAGTGGTTATGAAGTGATCCTCCTGTTGGCAGCTTGCAGGACCTAAAATACTCACAATCTGCCTTTAAGAAAAAATGTGCCAAGCCCTGTTCCACTCCACCGCTGCGGCTTGTCCTTTTTAAGTGGTTATGAGAACGTTTCTTTTCTATCCTTGAGCTGCTGTTTTAGGCCCTTGTCTGCTGATTCCAGGGTCTGACCATCTTGCGTTCTCCTCTGATTTGAGCTGGGCCACATTCCCACTTCACGTGTCTCGTGACTTCCGTTGCCCCAGGACGTTGCGACCGGTGTCTTGCCGGGGACTGTGCTCCGCTGCGGCCCCTGGTAGGCGCCGCTGGGTCTGCGGTAGCTG
>NW_003315920.1:0-82728 GCF_000001405.40 Homo sapiens
GAATTCCTTAAATTACTAACTTGCTAGAAGATTTTTTAATGAATCATTGTTGAATTTCATTAAGTTTTTTCTGCAATTTCTCCCTTTTTTTTTTTTTTTTTTTTTTTGAAATGGAGTTTCACTCTTTCTCACAGGCTGGAATGCAATTGCGCCACCTCGGCTCACTGCAACCTCTGCCTCCAGGGTTCAAGTAATTATCCTGCCTCAGCCTCCTGAGTAGCTGGGATTATAGGTGCCTGCCACTGCACCCAATTTTTGTATTTTTGTAGAGACGCGGTTTCGCCACGTTGGCCAGGCTGATCTCGAACCCCTGACTTTGTGATCCACCCACCTCGGTCTGCCAAAGTGCTGGGATTACAGGTGTGAGCCACCATGCCCGGCCTCTCCCTTTTTGTTAATTATATTCATTCATTTTGTTTATGCTCAGTTTGTACTAGATTTGGGCAGTGAGAGCCCTGTCAAACTATTTTCTGAGTTTTTGTTTGTTCGTATCGTTTTCAAAAACCTATTTACATCATTTTTAGAGCATTTGCTTTCTTTCCAACGTAATGTTTTCCACTTATTATGTACCTGATGTCTAGGATTCATGTGCCTCAGTCTTGGATTCACCTATTCCTTCAAGAAGCCTTGGGTCCCTTGACCCAAATAATTTGGACCCAAGGAATTTGGAATTTGGAGAGCAAGCTATGGACCCTCTGTTGCACCTATTGCTTAAAGGCGTCAATCTGCCTGGCTTTCCCTGTGGACAGACCTAGGGGTATGGAGGTATGCATAATCACATAGAAATGAAAATACACAGAGACGAAGATGTATAACTATTATGTATTTTATATGTATGTATTTTATATGCATAAATATTTCTGCATCTTTATTTATATACAATTATTTAAATACCTAACAGTTATTACTGATACATTTGTAAAGATAATACCTACTGCAGTTCTAACAGAACATCTGAGAGTACTTTCCAGTCTTTGGACTTTTCATGTGTAAACGCTTTCTCTGAAAGGACTGTGGGAAAATAGATAGATGATAGATAAGTAGATAGGTGAATAGAGAGAGAAAGAGAGAGGATTGCTTGATTGATAGATAATCATCTTAAATCACGTAATTTGTTTGCTCACTGCAATGGAGTCTTCAATTACTCAGATATCTCCTTTGTCTGAGATAACCGTGTTGTCTCCCGTCCCCACTTTATGTCCTAGGCACCCAGGCAAGCCAATGCCTGTACATGGCACCCTCACCTACTCACTGCTCTGCCTCCTTGAACATCTCTGTTCTGGCAGGTAACAGAGGTGAAAGGGAAGATGAGCATGGGTAGGGGAAAATGAAAAGGGTAAGGAAATGATGATAAATAAGTAAGCCAAAAATTGGTATTTTTTATTAATAGTATTCCTTTTATAGTAATTACTTTTTCTAGCACCATAGTTTGAATTTGATTTTATTATTCCATTTTACTAATGTAAGATTATTGGATTTGTATTTTTATTTTTTTCTTACCTATTTGTCCAAAATAAATGTGTTATATATACATATGAGATTCTATGTATTATGCCTATGAATTTCTCTACAAGCATAACTTAACAGATTTTAATATATCCTACAAATTTTAATATATGGTTGTACTTTCACTATTACAGGCAAACCTCGGAGATATTGCAGGTTTAGTCCAGACTACCACAACAAAGCAAATACTGAAATAAAGCCAGTCACACAACTTTTATTTCTCCATTCATATGAAAGGTAAGTTTACACTATACTGTAGTCTACTTAGCATACGATAGCATTATATTTAAAAACCTGTATGTACCTTAATTGAAAAATACATTGTTGCTAAAAATGCTAATGATCTGAGCCTTCAGCAAGTCATAATCTTTTTGCTGGTAGAGGATCTTGTCTAATGTTGATGGCTGCTGACTAATCGGGGTGGTGATTGCTGAAGGTTGGGGTAGCTGTGTCGATTTATTTTTTTCTTTTTTGAGATGGAGTTTCACTCTGTCACCCACGCTGGAGTGCAGTGTCACAATCTTGGCTCACTTTAACTGTTACCTCCTGGGTTCAAGGGATTCTTGTGCCTCAGCCTCCTCAGTAGGTGAGACTACAGGCACACGCCACCATGCCCGGCTACTTTTTTGAATTTTTAGTAGAGAGGGAATTTCACCACGTTGGCCAGGCTGGTCTCAAATCCCTGACCTCAGGTGATCCTCCAGCCTCGGCCTCCCAAAGTTCTGTGATTACAGGCGTGAGCTACCACGCCCGGTCTGCTGTGTCGATTTCTTAAAATAAGATGCCAATAAAATTTGCCACATTGATTGACTCTTTTCATGAAAAGTTTCTGTGTAGCATATATTGCGGTTTGATAGCATTTTACCCACAGTAGAACCTCATTTAAAATTGGAGTCAATACTCTCAAATCCTGCTGGTTTATCAAACAAGTTTATGTAATATTCCAATTCATCTGTTGTCATTTCAAAAACATACAAAGCGTCTTCAGCAGGAGTGGACTTTACCTCAGAAAATCTCTTTCTTTTCTCATCCATGAGAAACAACTCATCATCCATACAATTTTTATCATGAGACTGAAGCAATTCAGTAACATCCTTAGGTTCCCCTTTTAATTCTAGTTCTCTTGCTATTTTCACCACATCTGTAACTTACTTTCTCCACTAAAGTCTTAAACCCCTCAAAATCATTCATGAGGGTTAGAGTGAATTTTTCGCAAGCTCCTGTTAATGTTGAAATTTGACCTCCCATGAATCATGAATGTTCTTAATGGCATCTAGAATGTTGAATCTTTTACAGAAGATTTTCCATTTCCTTTGCACAGATCCATCAGAAGAATCACTATATATGGCACCTATAGCCTTACAAAATGTGTATCTTAAATAATGAGACTTGAAAGTTGAAATGACACCTTGACCCATGGGCTGCGGAATGGATGTTGTGTTAACAGACATGAAAACACATTATTCTCTTCGTAAATCTCCATCAGAGCTCTTGGATGACCAGTTGCATTTTCAATGAGAAGTAATATAGTGAAGAAATCTTTTTTTCTCTGAACAGTAGGTCTCAACACGGTTTAAAATATTCAGTAAGCATTGCTGTACAGATGTCCTCTCATTCAGACTTTGTTGTTCCATTTATAAATCACAGGCAGATAACTAGCATACTTGTTAAGGGTCCTAGAATTTTCAGAACGATAAATGAGATTTGACTTCAACTTAAAGTCACCAGCTGCATTAGCCCCTAACAAGAGAATTAGCCTGTCCTTTGAAGCCAGGCATTCATTTCTTCTCTCAAGCTATGAAATTTCTAGATGGTATCTTCTCCCAATAGAAGGCTGTTGTGTCTACATTGAAAATCTGCTTTTTAGTGTAGCTACCTTCACAGGCTGTTGAAAAAAAAATGGCACTGATAGACTTGCTTGATGCAGGATTGCCACAAACTTTGAATTTGTAAAAAATGTAATATCTGTGAAGCATAGTAAAGTGAAACACAATAAAATGTGGTATGTTTTTATTCATTTTGAAATATTTTCTTTCTCTTTTGCATTCTTTTAAGACATATAGATTATTTATAAATATATTATAATGTCTATGTAATGATGCTTTTAGTTAAACCTGTGTTATTAATGTACAGCTTAATTCAATGTGGCTGGGGAACATTGAATTATGATCATCCTTTGCAATTTGTATTCAACATGGTTCTCAATCTCAATTTTTATAAGTGTTTAATGTGCAATTGTAAAGAACAGTTTGTTAATTATTTTATTTGGATCTTTAGTGTTCATAGTAATGTAATTCCTGCTACCTATATGAAATATGACAATATTATAGCACATTCTGGAAGTATATTAGAATTTTCTTATGTTTTATAATATGATTACATATGAGGATATATATTTTCATTCCACTTTTATTATTGAAAGGTGTTTTTATTGGATATAGAATTCTCTATTGGTAATTTTTTTCTTTTCACATGTTAAAAATATTGGTCAATGGCATTACTGTTTATGATTAGAAGTCATCAGTTATTCAATTTCTTGTTCTTCAGTAATGTGCTCTTTTAATCTGGCTACTTTCAAAATTTTACATCTTTGTTTTTTATCATCTTGCCTACCTTAATTTGACTTTATTTTTCTTGTGGTGCACTCTTATTCATAAAACCGTAAATTCTTGCCCCACACCATTTTTGTGAAATTATCAGTCACGATTTCTTCAAATCCTTTGTTTAAAGCCACATTTGCTTTTTCTCTTCTCTCCTGTGGATTCTTGTTACATTCTTGTTAGATCTTTGAATACTCCCCAAAGATTTCATGAGGGGATGTTCTTTTGTGTATTCTTTTTTTAAATCATTTTGTCTATTTTTCCAGAAAATTTTCATTAATTTCTTTTTGTTATTGAGTAACATAAAGATAAATTAATTCTTTTTTAATTAATTTGTTCTTTTTGAATTGTTTCCCCTGAAATTTATATGTACTAAACCCTAGCATCTAAGAACCTTATTTGGGAATAGGGTCACTGCAGAGGTAATTAGTTAATGTAAAATGAGGTCATTCTCTTGGACTTTACTCCAATATGATTAGTGTTCTTATATAAAGGGAGATTTTGGACACAGACACACAGGAGAAGAATGGCATATGGAATTAAGCAGAGATTGGGAAAATGTTTTCTCAAGCTAAGGAATGTCAAGCATTGCCAGCAACTCCCAGAAGCAAGGTGCTATGAACCAAATGTTTTTATCCCCCTAAAATTCATATGTTAAAGACTATCCTCCATGTGACAGCATTTAGAGGTAGGGACTTTGGGAGGTAATTAGATCATGAGGGTGAGGCCCTAGGAATAGGATTAGTGCTCTTAGAAGGAAAGGCCTGAGAGAGTTTGCTTCATCTCTCTGCTCACTATTATGTGAGGATACAATATGCCAGCACATTGATCTTGGACTTCCCAGCTTCCAGACTGTGAGAAATACATGTGTTGTTTAAGCCACCCAGTCTATGGTAATTTGTTAATGTAGCCCAAGCTGACTAAGACACTAAGGAAGAGGCATGAAACAAATTCTTCCTCATACCCTTCAGAAGGAACTATACCTGACAACCCTTAATCGTGGATTTCTGGGCTTCAGAACTGTAAGAAAAAAAATTTCTGTTGTGTAAGCCACCAACATCGTGACACTTTACTACGACAGCCATAGCAAGCTATTACAATCCTCGCTGTGCTATCCATCAATGCATTTTTTATTTCAGATATATTTCCACTATTCCAGAATTTTCTTTTCATTTGTGTTTATTTGTTCCAATCTCCTATGGATATTCTTTTAACTTTTCATTTATAGCAAACATTCTTTCTTTACATTAAACATAATGAAAATTCATGCGTAAAAAAAATCTTAGTGTGATACATCCAACATCTCAGTTATTTCAGAGTTATTATCTGCTGCCTTTCTCTTGAGAAAGTGACACATTTCTCTGTTTCTTCCAAGTCTGGTAATTTTAAATTGTATCCTATGCTTTGTGAATGCTACGCTATGTGCTATTTGAATTCTGTTGTAGTCCACTAGATAGTGTTGAGATTCTCATTTGTTTGCTTGTTTCAGCAACAAATAAGTCAGCTGGGTTTAATCTGGAAATGCTATCTCTTGGATAGAATCTTAGAGTTGAGGCATTTTATCCTATACTGAGCTCCTTTGACTTTGTCCTATGCATAAGTGGCTCAGGGATGAGCCAGAGGCTGTTGCAGGGTTTATGAGTAGAACACATGTCTATCTGTCTCTGACTCTCTTTCCCATGGTACAGCCCTCCTAGATACTTACACACATTTTGCAGCATCTGTGGTTGTCCCTATCTCTCCCTTTGGCTTCTTTTGTGGGCATTCTATCAGAGTTTTAGCTGCTGTATATGGTGAACTGCAGCATGCCTTCCAGCTATAAGATGCTAAAGACAAGAAATTTAGCTTCTGCCATTCTGTTCTTGCAAATGTTCACTTCCTTTTAGAATCTGACTGCATTTCTTCATCCTACACTACATTCAGGTTTTTGTTTTTATTTTTCTCCAGACTGTATAGTTATCTTTATTTAAAGTATTTTTCCTTAATAGTTTTAAAAGATAATATTATACTTTTAGCTCTATATAGATACATCTGTGGTCACTGGAATTTTAGGGACAAGAATCAGATTCAGAAATCTCTAGATAATAAAACTGAAATCATTATTATTTTGTATAAATATATCTACATTACTTGCTTATTTAATAAAGGAATACATTTTTAATTTTCTAGGCTATTATACATGAAATGTTGCTTTGGCTTTTGCTTTATTACACTTTTGAATAGCTTTAGGACATAGGTCTAAGGGTGCATGATGATTTTATTAAGCACATGTTACTTCATTTTAAATTATATGCACATATAAATTACTTTAGAACTGCTGTACACATTTTCCATTCCATTATTTGAGTCTCTAATCCTACTTCTTCAATGTCTTTGTAAAACTATTCTGATTAATTTCTTTATTGCCTAAAATATTATTTGCCAAGTGCTAGAATAAGTCATATTTAATGTATTGATTTGAAATTCCTGAAAATAAGAAATTTAATTGTAATGTTGGCACACACTTAATTCCATCAGTGTGAAAAATTGTCACTGTAATAAAAGCTTCATTTTTTAATTGCAATTTACCTCTGTCAGAAAACTGTATAAAATGTTGTATCAGTGTTTCATTTACAAAATGAAATGTAAGGCAACACTATCCAAATAATTCATTATATTGCCACTAACAGAGGTAGAAGCCCCCAAAATAAGGTAACTATACATAGGTGGAGTTATTTTTTTTTTAATTTTCAAGAGAGGTAAAAGTGAGGTGCTATGATTATTCATGGTCAGGGGCTTGCGGCTATCTGATTACTGAGTCTATCTCCACATAATGTAATTTTTGAGGAAGAAAAATTTACATTTACCCAGAAATTAGGTTTATTTTCTGTGAGCTTGCAAATATTTAAATGAAAAACAAAATCAAATATATAATGTTTATCTTGAGAATTGCTGACTAAAAGAATAAAATGTTATTTTTTACTACAAAAACAAAGTATTTTATTGATAATAAAATACTTTGCTTTTGGATCTTGAAAAACAGAAAGATGTTCATATTAATTTAAGGTAATGTTTTAGCATGTTTGAAAATCCATAATATAAAGTTCACATTATTTCTTTTTAGCAATAATGCCTTCCTAGGTGATGGTAGGTCAGGCTAAATCTTCATGCTCTTCTTAAGAATAAAATTTAAATTCATGTATAGCAATAAGTATTAAAATCTATTAATCAGTGCACTCATAGTATCAACTGTGTTGGCTCCATTGGTATGATATACTGACAAGATTTCCTTTTTGTGGCATCAGTTGCAACATAGAAATAGGGTAGGGATTTGGACATTAAAATTATCTACTCCCATTCCAGAAAAACCAAGTCTGTCTATCCTCAATAATATGCCTTCAATTTTAAATTCAGAGATTATATGCTTGTTGCTTGATCATAGATCCCTAATTTATGTTTTATAATGGATATTATTTCTAAATATGACTGTATATTTTTGTACAGCCAGTTAGGTAGAGCCATATAAGTATAATTTTGAAATGTATTAGATTATTTCTTAATTGTTGAATCGATAATTTTGCAATGATTTGATTTTATCATCAAATTGGACTTCAGATGGTCTATTCAGTTTTCTTTCCAAAAGCAAGTAAATTATAGAATTGCTGAGGACCTAATAAGTTAGTCAACACAGATTTTGAACAAAATTTTATAAAGCTTGACAATCCAATTGCTAAAATCTATCACATGTATATCATTATAATAGTATAATGTATATTACATGATATAAACGCCTTACAATTTAATATTTATTGCAAGCTCTAATTTACGTGCTTATAGTATCTATGTAGTTAACATTTGATTTATCTTATCACTTCTATATATACTTATTTGCTTGTTAGAAAATTTGAAAATGAAACTAGTTTATACTACTACTTCTGTCTTCTTGCTGTTGTGAATTTGTTGTGAATCTTCTCCTTGTATCCTTTACCATGTATGTTTTTTTCTCCCCTAATTATTTTGTGAATTTTTGTTAAAGTTCACTGGTTAAAAAGTGGTTAAATAAGATTGGAGTTTCATCCTCTCACACACAAAAGATGAGACAGACTAATGTTACTGGACATCTGTCTTCCAGAGTCTTCCTGGAACCCACCTCCTCCAATGCACTATTCCATGGTGACCTGACACTATCTCAACATGGCATGAGCAAAAGCACCTCATGCTTGGATGCTGTGGAGCCACAAAAAGCTCAACGCAGAAAGTCAAAGACCTCTCAGATTTACCCTACCAATTTTAAGGTGACTGCTTCCTTGGCCTGAAGAATTTTATCACCATAGTGAAGATTCTGCTAATTTTCCTATAGAACACTACTCACAGTATTTGGTTTCAATTGTATTTTCAGTTTTGAAATTAGAGAATTCTCCAGATGTAAAGATATGCCCTCTTAAGCTAATTATTGTCTTTCATCTCATTCCCTGCTTCCTTGTGTATACCAATCTTGCTTTCTTAAGATGCTATTTTTGAAGTAATTTTTGACAATGGCCTAAGATTTCAAGTTCTCAATAATTTATCTATTATTGTAACACAGATTCAGATGCACCTTCAAGTACATCTGCCCCTGCACACATATAGAAACACACATTCACACAGAAACCATGCTGAACTCTAGCTCCAACCTCTCCCATGGAAAACTCCCTGCTCTAGTCAACCTGTCCTGGATCATATGTTGTCATCGTAAGGGTAACTTTGTAAGGGTAACTTCATTTTCCTGGTGTGAAACTTGCACTAACCACAGACAGGGCAGAAGTCTTCATTCTATAGGTCTTGCTTACAGAAATTTTTGCTCTTGAACACAGGACCATTTTGCTAAGGCACAGAGCTACAGGTCCAGGTTTCTTTTTTCAAATCTTATTGCATCTGCTCCATGTTTGAAGACCGAAGGTGAAAAGACAAAGAGGTACATCTTCTAGGGAGAGGTCCTGGGTGGAATCTTGTACTGCGTGCAGAGGAAGGGCCTGAGGGGGTCTCCTTAATTTGTGGAGAAGAACCTCCTTTCTAGATAAGATTGAAAGATACAGAGGAAGTCAGTAGACATCAGGTAGAAGCCTGAAATGTAAAAACCCATGCACCACGCTGAGAATTCCAATCCCCACCACTACTTGGGGATGAGAAGTAAGAGTACCTTGAACTCTCCCGATGGCCTATAATGTTCTAGAGTTGGACAGAAACTAAGGGTGCCACCAACAATCCAGAAGCCCACTTGCAGGACTAACAGGACACTGTACGTATAACAAGCTCCCTGAGAAAAGGGATTTATACTATTCTTATGAAGAATCTTCTCTATGTTTGAAAATTTCTCCTCCTTAAACTACTCTGGGGAATATGAGATTTGGGGCCTATCCATCATGATTTACTCACCTGCTACTTGGTCGAAGCTAAGAACCTAATAAAAGAAAAAATGCATAAAGGGAATTCATTATTTATGTGTGTCATATATATTTTCTACTTGAAGTATGCTCTTTGCTCCTCTTGCAAATTATAAAATAACTGTCAGTTCTCTTGACTCTAGCACTAAATATTTCCATGCTAGCAGAGGGTAAAAAATAATTCCCTAGTGTGTTTTGCTCTGGGACATCTGGTCTTTTTTTTGAAAAGACAGGAAAAAATAAGGAGTGCAAGCACTCTTCCTCTAAAAATCACATCTTTTTGTCCATATGAATTATGTAGCTGCACTAAGGAATGGCATCTTTAAAATGGCACAGCTGTAAATGCACCAAGAGATGCCTGCACATGTACCCTTCAACCTAAAATAAAAGTTAAATAAAATTTAAAAAGAGATGGATAACACAAATCTACACACAAAAAAGTAAATAAACTTTACTATTCCAGCCTTTTTCGCAAAGCCTATCTAATCTGTGCCATATCAGAAGTTGACATTATTACGGGAAGATATAGTCAAGCACATAGAAATACATTTCAGAGAAGAACATTGAAAGACTCTAAAGGCAAGCTACATAAATGGCAGAAGAATTGTTACGATGAAATTTACTTGTGTATTTATTTATTTTTAGTGATAGAATCTTGCTACATTTTCCACATTGGCCTCAAATTCCTGGGCTCAACTAAACCCCCTGCCTCAGCCTTTTGAGTAGCTGGGACTACGGATACAAGTATTTTAATAAGGTAATTAATAGGTTATTAAACTAATGCTCAGTGAGATTGTTCTTCTATCTGAAAATAAATATAAACTGATTAAAAATAAATTGAAAGAAAAGTGAGGAAACTGAATCAATCCAAATATAAGTTATAACGTATGAAATCTGTTTTACGCATTTTGTAAACAAGGCCAAAATCGCCTTTTCACTGGTTAAAGGAAATTACAAAAAAAAAATTCTTGATTTTCTAGGAAGTTTACTAACATTTTAAAGAACACTTTCAGAGAACTACCTCCTATCTAAGACTTCTAACATAGGTAGTATGTCACAATTGATGTTTCATCGTGTATAAAACTATTATTAAGATAAACCACTAAAACATGCAGAAACATTGCATTAGTACTAAATTTAAATATACTAATTAATGAGGATTAAAACATTGATAATGTTGTACAAAATATAAGAAATCACAATTTTAATATTAAATGGTGTATCTTATATATCAATAATACTATGTTTTACTAAATTTATTCTCATGGTAGTATCATCCTGTTATATACTACAAGGATTTTTGTAAAAAGCCTGTCACACGTCAAGGCTCACTATAAGATAGATCATTGATCGCCATCACTGGGTTTTCTGAAACTTTTTCCAATCCACTTTAGGACACTGATATGGTTTGGATCTGTGTCCCCCCAACATGGGGATTACTCATGTTGACTTGTAATCCCCAGTGTTAGAGATGGGTCCTGAGGGGAAGTGATTGGATCATCAGGGCAGATTTTCTCCTTCATGCTGGT
Source organism: Homo sapiens (assembly GCF_000001405.40). Lineage (NCBI taxonomy): Eukaryota > Metazoa > Chordata > Mammalia > Primates > Hominidae > Homo > Homo sapiens. The sequence continues at coordinate 11,038 of NW_003315920.1, forward strand.
CTTGTGATAGTGAGTGAGTACTTTTGAGATCTGGTTATTTAAAAGTGTGTGGCACCTCGACCGGTCATAGTGGCTCACATCTGTAATCCCAACACTTTGGGAGGCCGAGGTGGGTGGATCACCTGAAGTCAACAGTTCAAGACCAGCCTGGTCAACATGGTGAAACCCAATCTCTACTAAAAATACAAAAATCAGCCAGGCGTGGTGGTGAGTGCCTCTAATCTCAACTACTTGGGAAGCTGAGGCAGAGGCTGCAATGAGCTGAGATTGCACCACTGCACTCCAGTCTGGGCAATAGAGTGAGACTCTGCCTCAAAAAATAAATAAATAAATAAATAAATAAAATTTAAAAGTGTGTGGCACCTCCTCCTTTTTTCTCTTGCTTCTGTTCTGGCTATGTAAGACATGTCTGTTGTCTGTTTGCCTTTTGTCATAATTGTAAATTTCCTGAGGTCCCCCCGGAAGGAGAAACCACTATGCTTCCTGTACAGCCTGCAGAATCATGAGCCAATTAAACATCTTTTCTTTATAAATTAGCCAGTCTCAGATATTTCTTTATAACAGTGCAAAAACAGACTAATAAAGAAAATTGGTACCAAGGAGTGAGACATTGCTATAAAAATATCTGATAATGTGGAAGTGGCTTAGGGACTAGGTAATGGGCAAAGCTTGGAACAGTGTGGAGAGCTCAGAAGAAGACAGAAAGGTGAGATAAACTTTGGAACTTCCTAGAGACATGTTGAATGGTTGTGACCAAAATGTTAATAGTGATATGGACAGACATGGCCAGGCTGAGGAGATCTCAGATGGAGATGAGGAACCTATTGGGAACTGGAGCAAAGGTCACTTTTGTAATGCCTTAGTGAAGAACTTGGTTGGATTGTGTCTCTGCCCTAGGGATCTGTGCAACTTTTAACTTGTGTGTGATAATTTAGTGTATCTGGTGGAAGAAATTTTTAAGCAGCAAAGTCTTCAAGAGATGACTTTGTTTCTGTCTATCTCATATGCATGAACAAAGAAATGACCTGATATTGGAACTTATATTTCAAAGAGAAGCAGAGTGTAAAAGTTTATAAAGTTTGCAGCCTGGCCATGTGGTAGAAAAGAAAAGCCCATTTTGGAGGAGGAATTCATTCAGGCTGCAGAAAGTTGCATAACTAAATGGAAGGCAGGTGCTAATAGCCAGGACAATGGAAGGCCTTGAAGGCATTTCAGAAACCTTCCTGGCAGCCTTCCCATCACAGATCTGAAGGCCTAGTAGGACAGAATGGTTTCATGGGTCAGGCCCAGGGACCCACTGTCCTACTCCCTGCATCCCAGCCAGTCCAACTCCACCCATGGATAAAATCAATAGAGACATATCTTGGGCCACTGCTCCTGAGGATGCAAGCCATAAGCCTTGGCAACTTCCACATGGTGTTATGCCTGTGGGTGCTCAGAGTGCAAGAGTTAAGGCTTGGGAGCCTCTGCCTAGATTTAAGAGGATGTATTGACAAGCCTGGATGTCCAAGAAGAAGCCTGCTGCAGGGGCGGAGCCCTTATGGAGAACCGCTATTAAGACAGTATGGAGGGGAAATGTGGGGTTGAAGCTGCCACACAACATCTCCACTAGGGCACTGCCTAGTGGAACTGTGAGAAGAGGGGAACTGTCCTCCACACCCCAGAATGGTAGATCCACTGATAGCTTGGACCCTGAGCCTGGAAAAGCTGCAGGCACTCAATGCCAGTCCTTCAAACCCACTTCAGGGTCTGAACTCTGCAAAGCCATAGTGGCAGAGCTGCCCGAGGCCTTGGGGACCCACACCTCACACCAACGTGCACTGGATGTAGGACATGAAGTCAAAAGATACTTTTTGGAACTTTAATACCTAACAACTGCCCTGCTAAGTTTTGGACTTACATGGGGCATATAGCCCTTTCATTTTGCCCAAATTCTCCCTTTTGTAATGAGAGTATTTAGCAAATGCCTGTATCCCCATTGTATCTTTGAAGTAACCAACTTGGTTTTGATTTTACATACTCATAGGTGGAAAAGACTAGCCTTGTCTCTGATGAGACTTTGGACTTTTGAGTTAATGTTGGAATGAGTTAAGAGTTTCGGGGACTATTGGGAAGGCATGATTGGATTTTGCAATGTGAGAAGGACATGAGATTTGGGAGGGGCCAGGGGCAGAATAATATGATTCAAATTTGTGTTCCTGTTCAAATCTCATGTTGAATTATAATTCCAATTGTTGGAGATGCACACAGCCATTGGGTCTCTTTGCGTCACCAAATTCTCTTCTAGCAAAGACAGGCTGCTACTCCTGTAATGCCATCAAGATATTGTAGATGCAGTCACTGAGCTGGCTCATGGCATCAACCAAGCAGGTTTGTGTCCTTATGTTTCTCAGCATCACTGACTCAGAACATGGCTTCTCAAGAATGCTGACTCTACACTTTAATGGACTAGCTTTAAGAGTTTGTCTCTTTCTGCTTCTTTCATACAAGAATGTGGTTATCAAGGCCCTGCTTCTAACTCCCACTGCTCCTACCTCTCAAAAGTAAAATATTTTGATACATCTGCTTGTTTCCAGTTTTTGAAATTAAAACACCTAAAATTTTAACATGAAAAACTGATTCTTCTTTTGAATTTTATTGATAGCACGTTACTGAAATTCTCTTATATTTATAACCAAAGCTATTTTTAATATAATATTTTAATAATCTACCTTCATTTCTAACTGGAGTGGCACATTCAAAGGAAAGAGACACATGAGCTCAAACTCCATTTTCTTTTCCTCTTCCAGCTTTCAGTTTAGGTTCAGGGGATACATGTGCAGGTTTGTTATGTGGGTAAATTGTATGTCACTAGAGTTTAGTGTGCAAATGATTTCATCACCTAGGTAGTAGGCATAGTACCTGATAGGTAGTTTTTTGATCCTCACTCTCCTCCCAGCCTCCACCCTCAAGTAGGACCCCATGTCTGTTGTTCCCATCTTTGTGTCCATGTATACTCAATATTTAGCTCCCACTTAAAAGGAAGAACATTCTAGTATTTGGTTTTCTGTTGTTGTGTTGCTTTGCTTAGGATAAATGCCATCCAGCTACCTCCATGTTGCTACAAATGACATGATTTAAGTATTTTTATGGCTGCCTAGTATTCCATGGTGTATATGTGCCACATTTTCTTGATTCAGTCCACCACTGATGGGCATCTAGGTTGATTCCAGGCCTTTTCTAATGTGAAAAGTGCTACAATGAAGATACAATTGCATGTGTCTTTATGGAAGGACAATTTATATCCCTAGGGTATATACCCAGTAATGGTATTGCTGGGTCAAATGGTAGTTTTTCAGTTCTTTGAGAAATTTTCAAACTGCTTTCCACAATGGCTGAACTAATTTATTTTCCTTTAGCAGTGTGTATACATTCCTTTTACCCTGCAACCTCACTAGCATCTGTTCTTTTTTGAGTTTGTAATAATAGCCATTCTGAGTGGTAGTACTTTCATTTAGCACTTTTTAAAGCATCTCATCGTGATTTTGATGGCATTTCTCTGATGATTAGTGATGTTGAGTTTTTTTATATCCTTCTTGACTGCATGCATATGTTCTTTCTGAAGTGTATGTTAATGTCCTTTGCCCATTTTTTAGTAGTGTGTTTTCTTGTTGATTAAGCTACTTATAGATCCTGTATATCAGACTTTGTCAGATGCATATTTTGCAAATATTTTCTCCCATTCTTAGGTAGGCTGTTTGCTCAGTTCATAGTTTCTTTTACTGTGCAGAAGCTCTTTAGTTTAATTAAGTCCCACTTCTCAATTGGGTGGCTCTTTTATTGTTTTAGCAATTGCTTTTGGACTTTTCATCATGAAATCTTTGCCAGTTCCTATGTTTAGAATGGTATTTAATAGCTTTTCTTTGGGGACTTTTGTAGTTTTAAGTTTTGCTTTTAAGTCTTTAATCCATCTTAAGTTAGTTTTCATATTTGGTGAAAGGAAGGGGCTCAGTTTTATTCTTCTGTATATAGATAGCGGTTATCCTAGCACCACTTATTGACTAGGGAGTAATTTCCCCATTGCTTTTTATTGTTAACTTTGTTGAATATCAGATGGTTGTAGGTGTGCAACTTTATTTCTGGTTTCTCTTACCTGTTCCATTGGTATATATGTCTGTTCTTGTACAAATACCATGCTGTTTTGATTACTGTAGCCTTATAGTATAGTTTGAAGTTAGGTAACATGATGCCCCCAGCTTAGCTCTTTTTGCTTAGAATTGCCTTGTCCCTTATTGCTCTTTATTTTTTATTCTGTATACATTTTAGAAGTTTTTTTAATCTAAACTTGTGAAAAATGTCATTGGTAGTTTGAGAAGGATAGCATTAAATCTGTAAATTATTTTGGGCACTATGACCATTTTAATAATATTGATTCTTCCTCTAAGTGAACATGGAATGTTTTTCTATTTGTTTGTGTCATCTCTGATTTCTCAGCAGTGTTTTGCAATTCTTGTTATAGACATCTTTCCTTCCCTGGTTATCTGTATTCCTCAGTATTATATTCTTTTTGTGGCTATTAGGAATAAGACTGTGTTCTTGAGTTGGCTCTCAGTTTGGATGTTATTAGTGTATAAAAATACTACTGATTTTTGTACACTGATTTTTTTTTTCCCTGGGACTTTGCTGAAGTTATTTATCAATGTTGGAGGGCAGAGACTATGGGGTTTTCTAGGTATAGAATCATATTGTCTGGAAAGAGAGATAACTTGACTTCCACTCTTTGTATTAGGATGCCTTTTAATTTTTTCTCTTGCTTGATTACTCTGGCTAGGACTTCCAGTACTCTGTTGAATAGGAGTGGTAAGAGTGGGCATCCTTGTCTTGTTCTACTTCTCAAGAGGAATATTCCAGCTTTTCCACTTAGTGTAATGTTGGCGGTGGGTTTTTCATAGATGGTTCTTATTATTTTGAGGTATGTTCCCTTAAAATATAGCTTGTTGAGGGTTTATAACATGAAGCATTGTTGGATTTTATAAAAAGCCTTTTCTGCATCTGTTGAGATGATCATGTGGTTTTGGTTTTAGGTCCGTTTCTGTGATTAATCACATTTATTTATTTGTATACGGTTAACCAAATTTGTGTCCCAAGAGTAAAGCCTACATGATCATAATGTATTAGGTTTTTTGTGCTGCCAGATTCAGTTTGCTAATATTTTGTTGAGGAATTTGCTTTTGTTTTCATCAGGAATATTGGCCTAAAATTTTCTTTTTTCACTGTGTCTCTGCCAGATTTTGGTGTCAGAATGATGCTGACCTCACAGAATGAGTTAGAGAGGAGTAACTCCTCAATTTTTCTGGAATAGTTTCAGTAGAACTGGTGCCAGCTCTTTTTTATGCATCTGGTAAAATTAGGCTGTGAACCCACCTGGTACAGAGCTTTTCCTCGTTGGCAGGTCTTTAAATACTGATTCAACTGCAGAACTCCTTACTGGTCTGTTCAGGTATTATTCAACTTCTTCCTGATTCAATCTTGGAAGGTTGTATGTTTCCAAGAATTTATCCATTTCTTCTATGTTTTCTAGTTTGTTTGCATACAGGCATTTGTAATAGTCTGTAGTGGGGTGGTTTATATTTCTGTGGGGTCGGTGGTAATGTCACCTTTGTGCTATCTGATTGTATTTATTTGACCTTCTCTTTTTTATTGGTCTAAGTAGCAGTTTACCAGTGTTATTCTTTCAAAAAACTAACTTTTGCTTTAGTTGATTTTTGTATGAATTTTTGCATGTCAAGTCCTTTATGCTGAGCATTGATTTTGATTATTTTTCTTCTGCTCGTTTTGGGCTTGATTTGTTCTTTGCTCTTATTTTTCTAGTTCCTCTAAGTGTGATATTATGTTGTTAATTTGAGCTCTAGAAAGAACTCAAGTTATCACTTGAGCTATATCACTTGACCTATATCACTTCTTGATATAGGTGTTTAGCCCTATAAACGTTCTCCTTAACCCTGCCTTAGCTGTGTCCCAGAGATTCTGGTATGCTGTATCTGTTTTATTAGTATCAAAAAATATTGATTTCTGCCTTAATTTCATTCTTTTTCTAAAAGTCATTCAGAAACAGGTTTAATATCTGTGAAATTGTATATTTTGTCAAACTTCATTTTGATATAAATGAAAACACTGCTATAAATGTTACAGATTACTTTTCTTTTATAATTTTATCATACCCTGGGTGAAGAGAATACCAATTAGTTTCCTAATTCCATTTCCCCTTCTTCATTTTAATGGGATCCCCAACTTGTAGCTATCACTTAGTTTTCCAGAATAAGTAATAATAATAGTATTGCTAAAGATTTCATAGTGTATAACCACTGTTCTAAGTCTGCTAAATATATTACTAAATTTAATGCTCACAAAAATAGGAGATGAGACTATTATTATATTTCCATTTAATAGTTGAGGAAGTTAAGGACAGCTCAATTTGCCAAAATTCAGAGTTAGTAATGGCAAAGCCAAGTTTTAAATAGAGCCTGTTTCCAGAATCCTTGCTAGGGTATACTGTTGTGTAATCCCTCATTTTTCCAGTTCTGTCTTGTATTAGGTTATTTCCATGGGCTCATGTTTTGTTGGTTAATCAATGAGATGTAAGCAAATATGTAAAGTGTCAGAGTCTAACATTTTCCATAGAAAAAAGTGCAGTATAGTTTTCTTTTTTTAATTTGTTATTTCATTCTCCATGCTGGTCAAAATATATTTATGATGACCAGACCTGAAGCACCTACTGGAACACGAGTTGATCTTGAGAATGGAGACCATCTTTGAGGCATATATTTGAGCAGAAAGGTAGCAAGAGTTTCAATCTTTGAGAATGTCTTGGAACAGAGACAGCATAATGAGCCCTTAGACTGCCAAACTCAAGATTTTTATGAGAAAATAACAATCCAAGTTTTTAAACTGCTGTTATTTGTTGGGGTAACATTCTTTGTTATTGCCTGACAAACATAATTCTTAATGATATGTATTGGATCCTCCAAATAATTTTACATCATAATATTTAAAAACATAAAAATATGGAGAAAATTCAAAGTTAATTGCTTTAAGAATATTATTTGAGTATAAAATTAGCCTGTGATATATTGCATGGAAGCTTGATTAAGAAAACACTGAGCAAAATCTAAAAACAGCGACTTTTTTTAACTTACATAGGAAAGATATAATGATTGATAGAGTCTTGCTGTGATCACTATGAATTTTTATTTTTATCTTATTCAGTGTTTGCAGTTCAGCTGGAGACAACTTACTGGAGAGATGTTTGGAAGGGCTCCTTACCAACTGTTAAGGGAGATTGATCCTCTCTAAAGATAACTCCAAAATAATATACTAATTTCATCATTGCACATAATGGTGTGCCAACATATGCTATCTTAAGTTGTATAGCATAAACATGATAGTTACAAAAATGAACTCCAAAAGAGCTAAAAATGAAGTCAAAAATTCATTTATCAAAACTGATTTCTATATAAGAAAACATATTTAATACAGTAAATTTTAAAAAGCGATAAAATGGAAACTATAACAAATTATAATGCTCATGAAAATATAAAGTGTTGAACTGTACAATCAGTCTCAGATGAATCAGACATTTAAAATCCAAACTGTACTAAAAAATTCAAAGAATATATGAAGGTACCAGGCTCAGGGAAAATAATATTTTGTTATTGAAATACTCTCTTAAGGTCATCAAATGCAGATCTCCAAAATTATAAATTTGTTCCCACATTAAGATAATTTTTAGTTTCAGGTTTAATACATGAGGTGACTTATGAGAACTACATGTGGGACACCTTGTTCACCTATAAAAAGAGATCTTTTTGTTTCAGAACTTTTCTGTTCAGTGTTGTGTTATTTATATCATATACTAGAATGGTATCCACTCTCTAATCATTCATGCTCCATAATTTATAAATTACAGTTTGTTTTTCAATAAGAAATGTAGACAAATAAAGTGCATCCTGCATAAGAACTCCCCATAGTCTTTCTGCTAGGCAGAACCAAAAGCATGCTGACCTGGGTGGGAATATTACTATAGGACATTTGAGCAAGTTGATCCCTTCTTCCCAATAGTCTCTGTTAGAATGGGGAAAAGTCCATTATTATCATTTTTCATTATTTTTGTCATGTCAAAAAGTATATCAATTAAACTTGGCAATTCATAACAGGTTATATAAATTACATACTATGCAAATATAAATGACAAATCTTGCCACAGAAATGATCTTGTCAACATTATGAATAAAAGTTATTACCTGCCATTGTAGGAAGTTTTATAGAGTCCTAGACAGAAATAGTTTTATATGGAGTCCTGGACAGAAATATAATCCTGCAAACTTGAATAACTTAGCTAGATTTACTTTTCTCATCCAAATATGGACTGATAAGACTAATATAGAGTTTTTTCAGCCCTTTTTGGCAAATCTCTATTTTTTTAGTGGGACCTTAATATGCTTCTCTTTCATCTCACTAACCAGATCCGCTCAGCTTGGGAAAATTTTATTTTGGAGTTTTAGTAAGATTATACAGAGGAAAAAAACATTCTAAAGAAAAATCAAAAAAAAATTTAAAAATATTCAATAGTAAATTAACTCTTTGCCTCTTTTCAACTCAAAATACCTACTATTTCTCAAAGTGTACTTCACTCAAATTAATATTAACCATGAAAATACAAAGAAGAATCAGTTTTACATAACTAAAACTTGATTATTAATATTTAAGACTTTAATGTTAATTCTCTAAAGTATGCATTTTAACTGTTGTGCCTCTTAAAATATTAGATTATTTTAAATCACTGAAAAAGAATATATCTGCATGTTTTATGACCTTCCGAATAAAAGTATGAGGTATGTCAGGCATGGTGACTCACACCTGAATCTCAGAACTTTGGGAGGCCAAGGTGAAAGGATTGCTTGAGCCCAGGAGCTTGAGACCAGCCAGGGTCTCTACAAAAAATTTAAAAATTAGCTCAGCATGGTGGCATGCGTCTATAATCCCAGCTAATCGGAAGGCTGAGATGGGAGAATCACTTGATCCCAGGAGGTAGATGCCATCATGATCGTGCCGTTGCACTCCAGCCTATGCGACAGAACAGATCCTGTCTCAAAAAAAAAAAAAAAAAAAAAAAAAAAAAGTATTTGGTAACATGTGGACATTTACTAAGCAAATGTGATAGCTTAAGATTGAGGGTAGCCACCTGTAATCCCAGCACTTTGGGAGGCCGACACAGCCAGATCACGAGGTCAGGAGTTCAAGACCAGCCTGACCAACATGGTGAAACCCCGTCTCTACTAAAAATTAAAAAACAAACAAAAAAAACGAAAGAAAAGAAAATTAGCCGGGTGTGGTGGCAGGCACCTGTAATCCCAGCTACTCGGGAGGCTGAGGCAGGAGAATCGCTTGAACCCAGGAGGAGGAGGTTGCAGTGAGCTAGATCTCAACACTGCACTCCAGCCTGGGCAACAGTGAGAGACTCCTTCTCAAAAAAAAAAAAAAAAAAAAAAAAAAAAAAAATTGAGAGTAGTCAACAAACTTCAGCTGGGAATGTATATTCTAATATAATAAAGGTTACTGTCAGTTTATATATCTTCATTTCTATTTTGTATAGCACTTCATATATAGAGATGTGAGTTGCATTTCATCTCAAAAATTCAAGCAATCTCAAACAGAACACTTAAAAGTAATATTTATATATGCAATAAAGCCCTATGTTTCTCCTGTTCTCTTTAGAATCATACATATCTAACCTCATTTGGTGGTTGTTAAAACATTGCAATCACTCTTAGTCATATCACAATATGAAAAAAAGTACTTCATTAAGATTTTTTAAAAACCTTTCATTGTCCGTTTATCTTTACAGATAATTTCTGTGAAGCCCAAAGTACTTTTTTCCTATTGTTGGTTTTATGGTTTGTATTAAAATGTAATTCAGATTTATTCCCAAATACCATTCAACTTAAAGCAGCCTTCTTCAAATGCTGCTTACACAAATGAAAGTCTAAGGACTTTTATGACAATGCAGTTTATATAAAAATATCTCATGCATATCTTGTCTCCTATCAGGGATTTCATGTACTGCTTTTTCAAAACAACCATAAACATTCAGATTGATTTATGCTATAATGGCATTCAGGAGTGTGTGTTAGAAAGAGACTCAATCATGAACTATTTGTTGAGGTTATACAGAGAGTAAAGCAAGTGAGTTATGACACTAAGTAACTTTTATATTATGGTGGCTTTCAGTTGTATATCTTTAATTCTAGACTTTCTTTTGTGGACCGTACTCGTATGTTGATGGTTACATTTATATGTAACAAATATCATAAAGCAAACATTAGTAAAATTTACTTTTTGATCCCCACCTCAAATATGTACTGCTCCATTTAAGGAAAATGATCTATTCTAGAAACCTAAAATCCTTTGTTGACACTTCTTCAACATCTCCATTCAATTAATCACTAAATCCTGAATCCTGTTAATTTTTCCCCAAATATATATAAATTCTTCTCATACCTCTAAATTCCTTCTCTTTCAGTCTAGTTCAAATGGGCATCTTTTTTTTTTTTTTTGGTCCAAAATCCTACTACTTGTCTCCTCACTTCTGTTTTTCTTTTTTTTATTATTATTTTATTTATTATTATTATTGTTTTGAGACAGAGTCTCGCTCTGTCACCCAAGCTGGAGTGCAGTGGTGCGATCTCGGCTCACTGCAAACTCTGCCTCCCGGGTTCATGCCATTCTCCTATCTCAGCCTCCCTAGTAGCTGGGACTATAGGCGCCCGCCACCACGCCCTGCTAATTTTTTGTATTTTTAGTAGAGACGGGGTTTCACCATGTTAGCCAGGATGGTCTCTATCTCCTGACTTCGTGATCCACCTGCCTCGGCCTCCCAAAGTACTGGGATTACAGGGGTGAGCCACCACACCCGGCCACTTCTGTTTTTCTTAGTTTATCATATGTATTTACAAGAAAAGCATCATAAGTAATGTTATAAAGCAATTGGTATTGTCAACCTCTTTCACCTTGTTTCTGAGGATAGAATCTAAAGCCTGCATTTTGAGGTATCCCTTATTAAATTATCTTGCTTCAGTTGACATCAGTCTCTTCCTTCAGCTCTGCTCTCTAACCACTTTGGTTTTACTTTAGTTATTTGTTATGACATCTTTCTCAAATCTGAAACTTTATGCATATTATTCTTTTTCTCAGAAAAATCTCCATCATTCTCATAACCTTCTCAATTGAAGTTTTCTTGGAAAAGTATTACTAATATTCAAATCTCTGATTAAATTTTATTTACTCAGACAGTATCTCTTTGAGCCCCAATTGTACTATAACTTTCTTTCTCATAAAACTTGTAATCATCCTTCTTTGTATATTTTAACAATGTATTTATTTATGTTTTCTTAATACGTATCCCCACCCAAAAGACTATGGAATACATGCAGCATGTGTTTTGTTTATCAATACATAATCTTTGTAGCAAGGATATGGTAGACACTCAAAAGTTTTAAAATCAGTGAGTTAATTATATAAATGTTTATGTTATGATATTTGTCCTTCAAGGACTCACAATCTATTAGAAGAAATGAAACAGGTTCATATATGATTATATTCTTAGTCCATTTTTGTTTCTTATAACAGAATACCTAAAACTGGATAATTTGCAAAAAACAAAAGGAATTGTTTACAGTTCTGGAGGCGAAGTCCACAGTGAAGAGACTGGACCTGGTCCCTCGTTTGGTAAAGACTCTCTGCAGAGTCCTAAGGTGGCACTGAGCCTGCTAGCTCAGATTTCCTTCCTCTTCCTATAAAGTCAACAGTCCCACTCCCGTGATAACCCATTAATCCATTAATGAATTAACCCATTCATCCAATCATGGCAGAGCCCTCATGACCCAATCATCTCTTAAAGGCTCCACCTCTCAACACTGCCACATTAAGTTTCAACATGAGTTTTGGAGGGGACAATCATTCATACCATAGCATATGCTAAAACAACCAATAGCCAAAGATAAACATCTCAACTGATTTTATTAAGGAAATACATTTTTTCAGATATTATCTGTTTTTCAATTAGTGTCCTTTCTCTGATGCAGAATCCAACCCACGTTGCACTTCGTTCACTGAATTTTAACGAGAAACTTTTGTGAGTGTGAAAAAAAAATGTCAATTTACAGATAGGTCAAGTCCATGTCACACAGCAGTTAAGAGGGTATCTCCACTGTCCTAGAGATGAGTGTGTGTGCACCCTCTAACTTGTGTAGTAGGACGCAAAAAATAAATGCTTCTACAAATCTATCCTTAGGAGGAAATTCCTCAAAGATCTAGACATTTTCTTAGGAAAACAACAAGTATGACTGAAGAAATTTATTTTGTAATAGCAACATTATTACTCTTTAATAATCAGTATTAGCCACCCCCAAACAACACAAAATCATTTTATATGTGCCTAATTATCCATTGACAAGCACAATCCTAAATGGCCAAGATGTAATGTCATATTTTACTGGAACTGATTTCTATTGTTTGTGATGTCCTATAATATCAATTAAGTTACAGTGAATAATCTTATTGTTTAAATCTTCTGTATTCTAATTGCCTTTCCATTGTGCTCTCTCAGTCACTGAGAGTGGTGAGTCAAAATTGCCAAATATGATAATAAATTTACATATTACTCCTTTTATCTTGAATGTTTGTTACATATTTTTAGCTTTATTGATGTATAATTGGCAAATTAAAATTTTATATATTTAAGGTGTATAATGAGATATTTTGAAATATAAACATGATGAAATGATTACCACAATCAAGCTAAATTAACATAAACCATCACCTCACATAGTTACTTTTGTGTGTGCATGTACTAAGAATAATTAAGATTACTTTTTTAGTAAATTTCAATGTACAATATATTAACTATAGTCATTATGCTGTAGATTAGGTCGCTAGAACTTATTCATCTTATAACTAAGTTGTTTTATATATTTTAGCCCATGTTATTCAGTGCATACACATTTATGCTGTGATACTTTTTTCTTGAATTTATACTTTTAATATCAAATACCTCTCCTTATTTCTAGTAATATTTTTTTCAAGTCTATTTCTTCAAATATCAGTGTTACTACACTTGTTTTCTTTAAAATTATGATTGAAAATGGCATATACTTTATTTCTTCCATATATTTACAAGCTCTTCTCTCATATTTAAGAGTATAATATATGTTATGAGCAGTCTGACTGACTTTTTCCTCTTAAGTGGACAATTACAATGCTATATTAATTAGCACTGGTTTCATCAATCACACACATACAGGTGTAATAATATTTGTTTATGCACTTTAGAATTATATCAATGGTGAACCCCAGAATGTTCAACTAATGGTAGCTAAAGAAACAGATTTATTTATCCTACTGCCAGAGAGTCAAATAGCATACCCTCAAATTCATCAGTCAATAGCTCTTTTTAGCCATTTTTTGTGTGTTGTCCTTGAGTTTCATTATACAGCCTCTTTATTCAACTTCGTATCTCATTCCTAAATTCAAAGAGTGTGAAGGGTGAGCAAAAAGGGTTTTTCTTTGGGTTGATCTTAACTTTATTGTAACCCCACCAGATTTCACTTTAAAGGTGATAACCAGGTTTCATGGCCATATCCGTTTGCAAACCATGCTTAGAAACCGAGTATCTGGGAAAGAAGCATGGGATATTCTTATCACCCTCAAAACTGTGGTTTTATTTATTGTTTTTTGTTTTCTCCAAGCAATAAGGGTATGAATGACTGATAACCAAATAATGCTGTCCTGCGTGAAGTACACAAGTAGCACTGACTTAATTTAGAAACCAATAATGTTGAGAGTAGGGGGTGAAGAATTTAATATCTATTTAAAATCTTCTATATAGGAAAGATCATCATTTTGACTACAGCTGAGGAACTATTAGAACTGGTGAAGATAAAGATGTATCCTTAAAAATCTGAGGTCTAGGTTGGTCCTTAGGATTCATTTAAATAACATAAGATTTAAAAGAATAAATTAATTTGTAGAGCAGAATACAGAAGGCTTTTAAATGATACTGTGGCTGAATGCTATCTATACATACATTGTATAAATATATTTACATATATTTATATGGAATTATGTATAATATTGTTTTACAATTATATATACATATACGTAATCTCTAGATAGATTTTATTTAATTCTAGGCATTGAAAAGAAAGAGTATTTATTTAAGCTATAATTCAAGTGAAAAATCAATGAAAATCATATTAGAGATAGACCTTGGCACACCACTGAGCTGTACTTTGAATAAATCTTTCAATTTGTTAAATATCTGTAAATATTTATAAATATCTATAAAATGGGTAATCATAACCTCTGCATTCAGAATTTTTTCTTTTTTTTTTTTTTGAGACAGAGTCTCGCTCTGTCACCCAGGCTGGAGGGCAGTGGCATGATCTCAGCTCACTGCAAGCTCTGCCTCCCGGGCTCTCGCCATTAAGAGGTTAGATTAAATGGTATTTTTAAATGGTTAGGCATATATTTAAATAATATTATTTGAAATACTGTTAATATTTTGAGAAAAGTCTTATAAATATAATGTTACAGGATCCTTGAGATGTCACTTCACCAGTAGGAAGCCTCTGTGGACAGTGTGGCACCTTTGCCTGAGTTTTGCTTGGGCCTGCTGGACTCACTCAGCCTGGTAGGCCGCATTCAGCTCACACTGCCACCCTGGATCCCATGCCACCAAAGGTGAGACAAGCAGAGAGTGGTGTGTGTGAGTGAGCATGAGGTCCAGCCACCACACACAGCCAGGCATTTTGGCTGCAGTGGGTTGGTCAGCTCCAGGTGCTAGCATAGGTGTGAGCTCCCTTCAAGACTAGCTGGACCAGGCATACCTCAAACAGCTTCCACAGCTAGCACTAGGGAATGCGGTGGTACCCAGAAGCTTGGAGATGCCAGGAACTGCCAAGCCCCAAAGAGGGTATCATAGCCCTGTCTGGGAAGCTCCTAGGTCTGGGATCCCAAAAGGGCCACAGCACTTCTCTCCTTCTCTCTTCTCTCCTTGTCTCTGGCAATGTGGTGAGCAAGAAGCTTGTTTGAACTTTGTTTGTGTTACAGCTCTTTCAGCTCCACCATGTGGTGGGTCCCCATTTCTTGTCCCACTTCCAGGAAGAATGAAGTGGGTGGACAAGTGGAGGGTGAGCAAGATGAAGAGGAGCTTTATCAAGCAATAGAACTGCTCAGAGGAGACTCACAGTGGGTAGCTCCTCTCAGCAGCCAGGGTGTCCCAATGAGTGTTCAACTCTTAGCAGAGAGGAGACCCTGTATTGGGTAGGTCCACTCTGCAGCTGGCTGTCCCATCATCTCCTCAAGTCTGGCTGAGTCTAAGGTTTTTATGGGCTTCAGAGGGATGGATGTGCATGCTGATTGGTTCATGGGTGGGCCTAGAAAAAGCACCGTAAGTTCCTATTCTGGTTAATCAGCCCATCCTCCAGGCTTCAGGTGGTATCTGGCCTGAGTGTGACTTCACCAGGGACCTGCCACTTTCCACCCAGGAGCCTGTCTGCCTCCTACCTTCATCCATGGCACCCAGGTTGTTTGTGCTGAGGGGTGCCTGTAGGCCAGCACCCAACTGCCTACAGCTCCCTCATTGGCCTCCTTCCCATGTTCATTAGGACCCAAATTCTGGAGGGTACCAAGTCAGGAGGGGGCTCTCTTGTCAGCACTGCCCTGAGTGCACATACTTGGGTGGGTTGCAACAGTGCCTAGGCTCGGCCTCAACTTTTCTCCAAGATCAAACTGAGCACTGAGAGTAAAGAGAGGCCAGGCAGCAGGAGCAGGCAGTTGTAAGCCTGTAGGGGTATCCCTGGCTCCTGAGAGCAAAGAGACTCCCAGGCCCACAGCTGCAGCAGTGCCCAGGAGCACAGGGCTCCTGCCTGCTCTCATCCCACAAGAGAACAGGGATGCCTGGGTCCAAAGCCATCGCTGGGCAACCACAGCTGTGGCCATGTAGCATGAAGTTCCCACCCTACCGACTCAGAAGGGAGCAGGGCTTCCAACTGTTCCCAGCTCCCGCTGGCTCTGTGGAGCGTTCGGCCCTGGCCACACCTCTCCCACTGCAGGAGGCATCATGGCAGCAGCTGCTCCAGATGGGCTGCCACTGCCATCAATAATGCTCATTAAATTATTTTATTGGATAATTCATTTAAAAAGTTGACATATAGACTTATAAATGAATATATGTATAGAAATACATGTATGCACATATGTGTATTTCTATATGCAAATGGGTGTCTTGAAGCTTAGTACTGAAACCAACCCACTAGTCCCATAGATAGTTTTTCTTTTTTTAAATAAACATATAAATTAACCCTTCTGGTCTTAAAGCTTGAAATTTATGTTTGTTTTAACATAGTTCTTTCCTTTAGGCCGCTCAAAAATACTAGCAAAGGCTGAAACTCAACAGATCACCGTATCCAGAAAATGAGATGCCAGACCACTCATTCATCATGATTTGTTTGCCCCTCCCTAGCTCCTGGTTTCTTACATATTGTTACATTTCTTCCCTACTATATAAACCCCTAGCTTTAGTCAGTCAGGGAGATGGATTTGAGACTGAGCTCCCCCCTTGGCTATAGCACTCAATTAAAGCCTTCTTCTCTGGCAACACTCATCATCTCAGTCATTGGGTTTCTGTGCAGTGAACAGCAGGACCCAGATCAAACCCCTGGTGTTTTGGTAACAGTATGCAACTCCAGAAAAGTTGGTTTATCCCTAATGAATCAGAAATATATCATAGCTAGAAAAATATACAGGAAAACCATTTACTGAACAATCGCTCTCTCTCTCTCTTTTAATAGATAGTTCATGGTACACCTTAATTTGTTCTTGTACATACCTAAAGTTTTGGCATATTGACTACCTGCTGTTTAACTAAACGGTATAATCTTGAAGCTTGGCTAAGTTGATACAGTACAAACCACTAGACCAGTTGAGAGCTTGTGAAACATAACACAGAAGTAAAAGTAAAAGAAGTACTGCAAGAATAATACAGTGTTAGTTTTTTTTGTCCCTCAACCAGACTTCTTATAGATAAATCAAATAGATAACTTTGAAAGTTAAGTGGGATTTTTCATTTTAGTATAGTCATATAGGCATTTGATCAAGAATTCATATTAACAAGTTGGTATTTCTGGAGGAATAGAGAACATAGTATAATATTCACGCCAATTTAAGATTATATTCTCATGATCCGTTAGCAGTTTATCCAATTAATGTATGGCTTATTAAATTATTCTCCTTCTATTCTATTCACAGAGATGATGCATGTGTCAGCAAGTGATAATTGTTGCTTATTGCTTATTTTACTAAAGTAATTTTTAAACAAATTTGCCACAACATAACCATTCATATTAAATTGAATTAAATATAGAGTGCAGTCTCTTGGGAGAGTGGATGAAACGTGCATCCAAGCTTACTCTCACGAGGAGGATTAGGCTTGGAGGGAGGCCCATCAACTTTCCTCACTTATCATAGAATTCAGAATCTAAAATTTTTAGAGTGGTTGTGTTCCAAATGCCTAGTAGAGTAAACTTGAGGACCCAGAAACAAGGTCATAGTAAGAAAAGGGAAGATAAGAGGGACAACAAACACATTTAAGCAACATTTACTGAGCACAAGAGGTGCTCCTCTCATACACACAGTTGGGATATGACACACTATCTCCTATAGTTTCTCGAACTCGAACAAAACTAAACATTTTCATTCATATTCACTTGAAAATTAGTTAGGATGAATTTTTCAGACAATGAATTTTGCATACTTTTTTGCATATCCTCAGAGAAAAAGCAAATATGGTGATAATGAAAATTTGGATAGCAAAAGATAATTTTGTAATGTTATTGGTCATCAACTATTTTAATATCTGTAAATAAAGACATATCATTATATGAAAATGCTTTCTAAATTACTGATCATATATTTAAAGAAAATAATATTTGAAGACAAATTTTACAAGATAAAAATGTTACTTTTAAATATAAAGTTTGTTAAGTTATATGTATTTAAATTAAATACAATTTTAGTGAAAAATTCCTTATCTCATTTCAGTGCCTAATACTTTGCAGTGTTACAGTGGTTGATATTTTGGAGTGTTCAAACATAAACTACAATTAAGGATTATAAAAATGTGCACATTTATCACAACATTTGTAAGGTATCAGATTATTAATACATAAATTATTTTTCTTGATTTTGTTATATTCTCTGCTTATCTTCTAGGAAGAATTTCTGCCTACTAAGTAAATTAACTTAATCACAAACATGGGCATTCACTGGAAATTTTCAAGAGAGTTGGATTGGGGAAATGCCAGTAGTTAAAATAAATGACAAGAGGGAAAATGTTAAAAGAAATCATTCTAACGTTCAACTTCTATGCCACATTATTCAACTGAAAGTGTCAGTTTAATTTTATTTAAGCTTTGATGAAAAGGCATAATGAATTGGGTAAGGACAATGAAATAGTAATATAACATCTAGAATGATAGTTGATTTATACTCCCATTTAAGATCTGCACTTGGCCTATGAAATATTTTATTTACTTTTTAATCAATGTTAAGTGAAACACTAAAACCAAAATGAAAATTTTCTCATTCACTAAAGATCTCATTTTTATATATCACAAATTGAAGAGTATTAATAATACTCATGAATACTTGTGAGACTGAGGTTTGGCTGTCACAGGCATTTTCAACCATACTTTGATATTCAGTTTTCTGATTATTTCATTGCTTTGCATAGAAAAACACTTATAAATTTTTAAGTGGACCAAATTAATATGCTTACTATATCAAAACCATGTTAAATAAAGAAATAAAAATCAAAGCCAATGTTGAATGTGCTATTTTGACATCTTAAAATAAATCCTGTGGTCTTTTCAAATAAGCCATGTTGTTTCATAACATCTTTTAAAATAACGGCATGCATGTTGAAGAGGAGGCATTTTTTCGGAGCAGCTCAGAACTATCTTTGATGTAGTTATAAGCTAAAGGGCATGATGAAGAAAAAAATATGTAGTAACTTACCCTATATAACTTCCAGGCAGGGGAGATTCAAATGATAAATTATTTAAAGGAATTAAAGAAGACACCACAGGGCTCTTATTGCTTATTAAAGGTGAACGATTTTCAAACTCAGTTATGTTACATACCAATAGATTATTTCTTCTACTTAAGCTTTATTTCACCTAAACATGACAGTTAAAAAATGTTAGAACTGTTTTTATAATATTCTGGAAAAGATAATGGTATTTCCTGATTAGTATTTTCTCCTTCATGGTATACTGAAGCATTAACTTGTAATTTTATTATTGTGATGAATTATTAAACAGCTGATACAAAGAAAGATCAACAATTAATTTCTTTCTGATATTCCATAAGGGAAATTTATTAGATTTGATATGCATGGTAAAAGGTGCTGTTTGACAGCAATATTGTCTCATTAATTGGTTCATTTATTGTATTATTGGTTCATTCTGGTTCAATATAAAATATTGTACAATATTGGTTCATGTATTGTATTATAAGACTGCTATACAGTAAATATAGTGTTTAAAGAAAAAATAGTCAGAGGCAACCGAGAATGGATCTAGCAAATGTATGCTGACCAGGCTGTGCCTTTTCTCCAGGCAGTGAATTTGGCTGTCTATAGGAAAGACTGTGGAAGTGGGAGCTGTGCTGTGCTGATAAAGGTCTAACAACCAACTCACTGAGAAAAAGACATCGCAAAAAATTTTCCAATATCTGATTTTCTTACCTTGTTTTCCTTGGTGCAAATTCTTTAGGATTTATTTGAAGCCACCTATATGATGCCCCTGACCACTGAACTGGGAAGAGATGCACAGTTAGCCCTCCCTCACAGCCATACAGGCCAGCTGCAACATACCAGTGGTTACCTTCCAGCATGATTCCAAAGGAAACAAGGATCAATAAGGCAAAGTGACTATAGGAAGATTTCCCCCTGTACAGCAAAATATTCCCAATAGAGCAGCCCTCATCCATTGACTTATGAGTATTCATATACCAAAACTTCAGTGCCTTGATTCTCTATTTAGAGATAGCTCTATGGCATATGCTCTTACTTGTGGGATAGTGTTCTGTAGAAGAATTTAGCTTCAGGTGTTCTGCGGTTACTGGCTTTGTAGTCACACTTTATCGATTTTCCTTCTAGTGAATCCTGGGATTAACTTCCACATAAACTATTTGCACTCTAAACTTTGAGTTAGTGTCTGAGATATCTCAAAATAATCCCTTTTCATTCCTATTTTATATATTTCATCATCTTAATTGTCATCTTTTCTATCAACCATGGAATGCTCACACTGGGATGATCTAGTGAGATTAAGCATGGCTGTGACACACTCTTCTAATCAGGCATTTTCACTTTAGGCCACAGCAGGGTTCAGAATTCGCTTAACCTATGAAACCTGCTCTATTGGGAAAGTGTCCTCTCTTTCAGGAGTCTCGCCATTTAGAAAATGCCAGACCTGAGGATGCTATGGATGCTTTCAAAGATCGTGTGTAAAAAGGACAAGAGGAACATCAACAACAGCAACTTCTCCCATGCACTGCCTACAACATTGGCTTGCTTTGGCTTTTGGATATTTCAGGTCTTGAGTAGCACTGGCTATGTCCTTCTCATAGCAGTTCAACAGGTTTCTTTTTTAAAATTTCATGTTCTTTTCAAGTTTCTATACATCAGGAACCTTGACAGTATTAAATTTTGTAGAATAATTCTTTGTTGTGAGAGGTTATCCTGTAATTGTAGGATGCTGAGCAACAGCCCTGGACTCCATCTGCTAGATCACAGTAGAACTCCCACTCTTAGTTGACAATCGAAAAAGTCTTTAGATATTTCCAAATGCCCTGTGGCAAGCAAAATTTTATCTGGTTGATAGTTGTTAGTCTACACCTTTCAGAAATGCTCCATTGAGTTTAATAACATTTTACTCTTCTCTAGAACATATAAATAGGGGGCTCTACTTTATCGAATTTGAGTGCATCCTGAATTTGATATTTCTTTTATAATAACAATACAATAATAACTGTTATTTTTACTACTATTTTGGGTTTGGAGCACTAATGGTTGTTTTTAGATCAAACTTAATTGTTTTTCTTCTTTACATCATTGTAAGAAAACTAAATAATTCTTAGTAAAATATATTTTTATAGTCATATTAGAATTAAGTCTCTATGGAGTTCTATTACTTCACTCAACTTCAAAAGATATTAATTTGCCTCATTTGCTTGTTCTCAATTATTGGCAAATCAAACAAGGAATGCATTTAGATAATTTGAAACTATATAAAACAATGCATATATTAAAGTATTTAAAAATATAAAATATATTTCACAGCACAATGTATGGTCTTATTGCACACTTCAACTTTTGCAGGGACATAGATGGAGCTGGAAGCCATTATCCTCAGCAAACTAACACAGGAACAGAAAACCAAACACCACATGTTCTCACTTATAGGTGGGAGCTGAACAATGAGA
Organism: Homo sapiens; assembly: GCF_000001405.40. Taxonomy (NCBI): domain Eukaryota; kingdom Metazoa; phylum Chordata; class Mammalia; order Primates; family Hominidae; genus Homo; species Homo sapiens. The sequence continues at coordinate 32,620 of NW_003315920.1, forward strand.
ATACGTGGATACAGAGAGGGGAACAACACACACTGGGGTCTGTCAGTGGTGGGGATGGGGAGGGAGAGCATCAGGAAAAAAAAAATGCTTACCGGGCTTAATACCTAGGTAATGGGTTAATAGATGCAGCAAACTGCCATGGCACATATTTACCCATGTAGCAAACTTGCACATCCTGCACATGTATCCTGGAACTAAAAATAAAATAAAATAAAAGTCACACAGGTGTAAAATGCAAAAAAAAAAAAAAAGAATATACAATTGATAAACACCCTCCAACTAGAAGTTAAAACATTCACTCAAAAATAACTGTTGTCACTATTTATTGTGTGTTTATTTTTACCACATACTTTGCCAAGTTCTTGATATACATTTTTTCACTTTTTACAATTATGCCCTTTTTATAATGGAAAACCTCAATATACATAAATGCAAATGACTTACTTAAATTTGCAGTTCTACTAACTATCAAAGGGCAAACTGAGCAAGAATGACCAGCTTCCAAAATCCATGAAAGCATGACGAAAATCCTCAGTTTCTTAATTTGAAGCTATACATAAATATTAAGAGACAATTGAGGGTTACAGTTTTCATTTTCTTAAAAATGGTAACCCTTTCTGGTTTCAAATATTATAAAAATTAGGAAGCAAATGTTAGTATGTGCAGTCATGTATTAAAGGTGTAGAAAGAACACTTTTATTCATGATTAAATGCATTGTTTTATCAAAATACATTGTTTTAATATGAAGTGCTTATTAATAAAATCTGATTGCACATTTTGAAAAATCATTCACATGAAATACATGTACACACACATGCATGGGCACACACACACACACACACACACACACATATACATACACTCCTATTAAGGGTATTTAATGATTTCCATTAGAGAGTATACCTAGAAAAAGTTGACTTCATTACCAAGAATCAACTTAGGAACCTGGACTAGGCAAGAAATTAGACTGTATTACATGCATAAATGTAAATTTAAATATGAGTATTGGTGCTACAAGTTTTGGTATTTAATCAGTACCTACAAAAACTAAAAACAATTAAAATTACAAAAAGTTTTGATATTTGACTTTCTTTTCCAATCTTTTCAATCAGAATCTCTTCTTTTTAATCAGGATACTATAGTAGTTTTGAATAAATTTATATAGTAATCAAAACAATAATTTTAAGCTATTAGCCTAATTAAAACTCAGTAACTTTTAAGCTAAATTGTCACAAAATCACAAAGCAAAGTTATGCTTGAGCAAGATGGCAAATCACTACTTTTCTATGAAGGAAAATGTCAGACTATTCAGTGAACAAACACTCAATAAATAATGACAATGGTTATTTCTGAACGAATGTTTTAACTTTGCCTATGTATAACCAACAATATATCAGCAAAATTTGGAGATAACATAAATTGGAAACTCTCTGAATTATGGTCACTTTCCTAGGCTTTTAAAATGGCAGCAACTGGTCATCATGGTTTCATAAAACCCAGAAAAATCAGTAATATTAGTAACATATCTGTAACATACCATCCCTAAATACATCAAATTCTATGCTTCATGTAAGGTGAAAACCAAAAATAAAAACCGAAAGCCCCCTGCAGCCATCTGAATGGACCTCAGCCAGGGTACTCTAAAATTTAACCTGAAAGACTGGTTCAGGTCATGTCAGGAAGTGAGGGTCAGACATGCCTCATTACACCCAGACAGCATTAACATCAACACAGACCTTAAGTCTGATAAGAAACATGACAGTCTTTTCTCTCTAAAGCCTGCTAGTGGGGGCTTCATCTGCATGGCAAAACCTAAGTGCCCCCAACACCTCATTATAACCCAGACTTTTTTTTTTTGAGATGGAGTCTTGCTTTGTCACCAGGCTGGAGTGCAGTTGCACGATCTCGGCTCACTGCAACCTCCGCCTCCCGGGTTCAAGGGATTTCCCTGTTTCAGCCTCCTGAGTAGCTGGGACTACAGGCTTGTGCCACCACACCCAGCTAATTTTTTGTATTTTAGTAGAGACAGAGTTTCACCATGTTGGCCAGGATGGTCTCAATCTCCTGAACCCAGATATTTCTTTCTACTGATAATAACTCTTTCAACCAGTTGCTAATCAGAAAACGTTTAAATGTACCTATGACCTGGAAGCCATCCTCCTTCTCTCTTCCAGATCAAACCAATGTAAATGTTACATGTATTGATTGATGCATTATGTCTCCCCAAAATGTATAAAAGCAAGCTGTACCCTGACTGCCTTGGGCACATGCCATCAGGACTGTCACGGGTACATCTTTAAGACCTGTCTCAGATATTTTGAGCTCACAAGGGTTAGTTGAAAATTTTGCAGACTATAGATATGAATTACAATGATTAAAACATTCTTCTTAGAAAATAATTCTACATTATCATGAAAGTTCAAAACTGAGAACAACTATTGCTAAAAGTTCTTTTTTTTTTTTTTTTTTTTTTTAAAAAGATGGAGTCTCGCTCTGTCGCCCAGGCTGGAGTGCAGTGGCGTGATCTCGGCTCACTGCAACATTCGCCTCCCGATTCAAGCGATTCTCCTGCCTCAGCTTCCCGAGTAGCTGGGACTACAGGCACCTGCCACCACGCCTGGCTAATTTTTTGTATTTTTAGTAGAGACTGGGTTTCACCGTGTTAGCCAGGATGGTCTCGATCTCCTGACCTCGTGATCCGCCCGCCTCTGCCTCCCAAAGTGCTGGGATTACAGGCATGAGCCACCGTGCCTGGCGTGGAGGAATGAATCAATTAATGAATGAGAAGAACCCACTGTAATCGTAATAACATTAGGGGATATCTACTTCTCATTTCATGTATTTCCAAGAATCTGTTTAGAATTTTTACTTCTAAACAGAATCTGTTTACTTCTAAACAGATTCTTGGAAATATATGAAATGAGAAGTAGATATCCCCTAATGTTATTACGATTACAGTGGGGTCTTGCCATTCATTAATTGATTCATCCCTCCACAAGTTTACTCAACGTTATCTCTGATGTACCAGATGCTATTCCAGTCACTGTACTTGGAGTGATGAGCAAAACATAAAAATTCCTGTAGCCCTGACTTCATGGTGTTTACACTTTAGTGTGAAATGTTAGAAAATAAACACAATAAGTTGAATACATACCATGCTAAATTACTTAAGATTACTAAATTCCTGTAGCCCTGACTTCATGGTGTTTACATTTTAGTGTGAAATGTTAGAAAATAAACAAAATAAGTTGAATACATACCATGCTAAATTACTTAAGATTACTAAATTCCTGTAGCCCTGACTTCATGGTGTTTACATTTTAGTGTGAAACGTTAGAAAATAAACAAAATAAGTTGAATACATACCATGCTAAATTACTTAAAAGTAAAATTAGGAATTGCTGGGCCAGAAGGGGATTACAAATGTAATTAGGGTAGCCAAAGATTCATATACTGACAAAGTAACATTTGAGATAATACTTGAAAATGTTGAGGAAAGAACCAGGTGCACATAGGAGAGAAGAGATTCCAGCCAGCTGGAACAGCAAAGCATAGTGGCCTTGGATGGGCTCAGGTGAGGCAGGCTCTAGAAGCAGCAGGAGCTCTATGTTTTATCCCAGTGAGCTCAGGAGAGAACAGTACAGGAAGAGTCCTGGAGGACTGAAAGGAACCAGATTTGATAGGGCTTAGAGGCCATTCATATTCAAGAGATGCATTTACTAAGGATGATGGGAGGTACTGGAAGAGTTTTCAGCAGGGTAATGAAGAAATACCTGATTTGCCTTTCAAAGGAATATTAATCCTGCTTACTACAAAATCCAGATCTGAATTGTGTTTTGAAAGGATTATTGACAAACACTTTAGGAGTTGAGTGTGGTCTGTAATAAAAAGTCAAAGGAAGAAGCTGGGAAGGTAAATACGAAATGTATTGAAATCAGAGGTGTGAAATAATGGAAGGTGAAGGGAGGCAGTCAGACTTTGGATGTACTTTGAAGGTAGAACAAATGGGATGTGTGCGAGTTGATTGATGGGAGGCAGAAAGAGAAACAAGAATGGTGGTGGTGCCTTTTAGAGAGAAGAATCTCCTCTTTCTTAAGAGGAGCTAAATTAGGGGAGAAGAGTAGGAGTTTTGTTCCAGTCTGCAGTTTGCCTTCCCAATTTCTGCTTCCAAAATTTCCAGTGACACTGCAACAGCACTTTGGGGGTTCTCTTTCTCTGGGACATCACAAGCACTTCTGCCTTTCCTGTTTCTTTTAACGTAACAATGCAATAATTGTCTTGGTTTTGTTTTATTCTTACCTGCTCATATTTTGGCATTTATTAGCATGTGTTGTCACCTAGTGTGGCAGATTAAATATGGCTGTCACTTCTTAACATTTTTTTTTCTGTCAAAAGATGAGGTCTATGCTCTGTACCTTGAACTCGGGAGGTCCTCATGAGTGTTCAGACAAATAAATAGCAGATGGTGCAAATGACACCATACCATTCCTCAAGACACTACTAGCTTTTATTTTCTTTCTCTTGCAATGCTCATCTGTAAGCCTGGAGCTATCACATAGGAAATCTTTCTCCCTTTTGATAATATGAAGGACAGTCCTTGAGTAGGTCAACTAACTGATAGTTCAAGCTGACCTCAGTATTTCAGCCCTTCCTTTTAAGGTCACAGGTATGTAAGGGATGATGTGTTTGGCCCTTCAGATCAGACCAGCTGCCAGTCGAATATCACTAAGAGACCTCAGTCAATGCAACATACAGTGGAATTACTAACTTGAGCCCTCCCCAAATTTTTGACCTGTGAAGTTGTGAGGGATAATACAAAGTGTGTTTTAAGGCATTTATATGTAAGGTGATTTGTTTTGCAGCAATATATAACTGAAACAGACCTAGTTGTTTGTTCGTTTGTTGCAAATGTTGTCCGTGTAGTTTTTTTTAATTATTATTCCAGTTGCTTTGTCCGGGAAGATTAAACATTTCCATCTATATTGCCACCATCTTCTCAGAATTCCTGCAATTCACTCTTATCCTGTCCTATACAACATTGCTTTCTAACAAGAAAATCATTTTGCAGCTATGTGAAATGCAGAAATTTCAGTTGTTACCCCAAGAACATAATCAATTATTTAAGTTAGAGAGCAACATTTGGCATGGCTTTTCTTAAAGCCAGAATACATGAAATTAAAATCTAAGTGGGAATGCCTTATGTTATTATACGTAACAGTACCTTCATTTAAATCTTTCCCTAATATTTTGAATTTTAGTGGTTTTGATATTTTAATTCCAAAGAAAGATTTATTTCAAAGCTCACAATGATTCTTTACAGTTATAATGTAATATTTGACCATTTTGATACTGAGCCAACAGGAAATTAAGGGATTCCTGTAAACCCTGGTATAATTAAATGTGTTTATCAGGAGAAATGCACATAAAGAATCTGTCTGGAACTCAGGGCATCCTCTTGAGGGATCTTTAGTACTCTTAGGATTACAGTAACCTTATAAATCTAATAGCAACAATGTCTCATATCCTGCAAAACTAAAATTTGAATTGCCCCATTATGTAAGTAACAATTTACTGATGTACTTGCTGAGAATAATACAACATAATGGAAGAGAAAAGTGATAAAGATCAAATATGGCCATTTATATAAAAATAGTCAATTCTATGTAAATTTCCTTTCATATTTGTAATAAACTTAAACATATAATCAAATTTTTCTTTCCCATTTTAAAATGATTTTATATAAAGAGTGCAGTACAGATACCTGTTTGCCCAGAAAATTGCTAGTTACTGCTTGTTATCCAGGAGTAGTTATTATATCCTTTCACTCTCAAAAGCGTTCAAAGACAAATTACACAATCGCGCCGTATATATCAACGATTGTGATCATTTCTGTAATTTCCCTTTATGTTACAGAATATGCAGGTTATATGAGGAACGAACTAGAAGAGGAGGGGTATTTAACATAACCAGAAATGAACACAGGGTCTCTTGAGGTATTTTGTCTCAACTTTGGAGGGCAAGTTAAGTGTGTCCTTGTTTTTTCACAAAGACAGTTGCTTCCTGTTACGTAGATGCATAATGTTTTTGCTCTTCTGGTACAGAAGTTTATTTATGCATAGAAGGGTACATTTAAATGTGGTTAAATACTAAATATCCAGAGGCTATTTTGGAAAGTGTATATTTCTCCACTTCTAAACCTCATACTTACTTTTTTCTAGCATGCTATGCGCCCCACAGTGGTAAGCCTGAAGATCACATTTCTCAGGTTCTCTCTTCAACTGACTTACCTTCAGATTGAGAGATCTGACTCCCAATCTGAGAGAAAATGACTTTTCCTACTCTTTTTTATATATTTTTTCTGACTTGTAGTGGCCCTTCAGAAATGTGTGGTGGCAGTCCTGGAGAGAGAATTTGAGCTTCTGACTTGGGCATCTGCGTTCCAATAGTTCCTAGCTTCAGAGATGTAGTAATAACCATCACCAGGCCCCTCACGTTTCTCCATTAGCTTTGCCAAAAAAGATAAGTAAATTTTCTTCTATCCTCGTGACAGGGAGTAGTTTAACAGCTTGGAGCAAGCCACCCCTGCTGAAATTAGGCTTCTCTTCTCCCACAGAGGCTGGGAGGTAGGGGCTCTATCTTCCTTGATGATTACATTTCCAAGAGATGGATCCCAGGTCCTTGAGAAAGACATTCCTGGGTTTGGAACTGGTTAGAGGCTTTTAAAAAAGATTTACATCTCAAATGGGCAGAGAAAGGATTTACTAGTACAAGCTTTCTAAAGTTAATGCTCTAAAAAAAATAAATAAAAATAAAAAAGAGAAGTTCAGTGGCTTATACTCTGGAAGAAACCTGTTTAACTTTGGTGACACTGGATAATACTATGGCTTTCTTGTTTCCTAGTTTCTCATTGAACACAGAAGAAAGCTTATCATTATTTCCCAATTAAGTAGGAAGAGAAGGCAATGTAGGATTAAGACATATGACAGATCTTGTTACATATCTTCAGGAGAAAGGAGAGTGAATTTCCTAAGGCAATGCACAAATTCTGGGCCCTAAGCGGTCTGCATATGTTGTGAAGTAACTGACCAGTGAGGAGTGACAGCCAAGTGTCTCTGCTGTCCTTTGTGCCTCTCCAGCCATGTTCAGCACTGAGGGCACAAGCATGAGACAGGCATATAGTTGAATTCAACCAGAGATACAATGTAGCAATACACAAGGTAGGACAGGGAAGTTGGTATTGGTAGGGGAATAATTATAAGATTAACCACATAATCAATGTTATATAAAGGAATATGAGACTGTGATACATTAAATAGGTGATAAAACTAATGGCTTATGAGTCCTAGTATCATTGAAGGAAAGTTAAATTGGGATAATAGAAGCAATAAGGTGGAAACTGAGAAGTTGGCATGAAAAAGGGAGATAATATTTAGATAATTGAAGGATTTCCGCATTATTAATGACAAGGCTAAGGTATGACCATAGAAGTGAGCAGCTGAAATCGGAAGTAGGAGAAGGTTGTATTTGACTATTCAATTTCATTTAATATAGTTGGATTTTTCTCTTCTAAATCAACGTTTCATTTGCATAGCAGCAGAACACATTCTCCTTTGTTATTCTCCAGATTATAACTACCCTTTTAGTCTTCTTTTCCATTTTCTCCCCATCTTTTTACCCTCACAGGACCTTCTCTAATGATTCTTCTCTTCTTTATCTATACTCACTTTGTAAGTTGTCTAATCGAGTCTCAGAATTTTCAGTATCACCTAACTGCTAATGATTTCAAAATGTATAGACCAGACCAACCAGATGTTTTTCCTGAATTCCAGTTCCATAAAAATAACTTGACATCCCTTGAACATTTTATAAAATTATTAAACAATCCTCTATGAAGTATTTTCATTCTATCTCTAGTAGACATGAAAAAGTATTTTTCTCTATGAAAGATGACATCATGATTATACATATCCTGTTCTTCCCAGTTCCTAAATTGTTCTTCTTGCATTATTTTTATATACAAAGACTTGACATCTCATCTCTTTATTTAATAGGGCCTTAGATTCATTCAAAACACTTCTCTTTTTTACATATCCCATGTTCAGCCCATTAGCAAATTCTTTTACCCAGCCCTCAAAATATAACAAGAATTTTGATCACTTCTGATTTCCACTACTACTACTGGTAGACGTAAGAGCCATTTAAATATTCCAAGATATTGAAAGGGAGGAAAGTATCCATAAGAAAAAATATGATGCTACTAAGAGTGGTTTCTCCTAGTGAGCAAAGTATATTGTATTTTAGCAAGCCTCAGAATTAAGGTATTATCGTCACCTGAAGATATGAGCTCTCAAAGCACTCTGATTACATATGAAAATAAAGCTGATATATTTGAAAGTAAAGGAAAAAATAAATCAAAATATTCCTAAATTTACCTCAGATTTTTAAAACATAACTATGCAAAATCTGGATAAGATTATTGCAATAGTCTTTGTCATATTTCTGCTGGAAATATTTAAGTTAGTTACATATCTTTTCCATCAGAAGAAATTTAAAAATTTCAGGCCAATTATATTTAAATGTATTATGCAATATATTACTCTGGAGGATTAAGAAGAAAAAATCGTCTGTATTATTTAAAACAGATAATTTTAAATACTGTAGAAAAGATGTATTTGCAAATGTAGTGATGATTGTATAATTGAAATTATCTAGTTATTAAATTTAACTCAATTTAACTTAAAATTTAAGTACAAGACAGGTGTGGAGGCACATGCCTGTAGTCCCATCTACTTGGGAGGCTGAGGTGGGAGGAATGCTTGAGCCCAGGAGTCTGAGGCTGAAATGAGCTATGATTGTGGCACTGTACTCCAGCCTGAGCAACAGAGCAAAGACCCCATGTCTAAAAAAAAAAAAAAAAAAAAAAAAAAAGGTGATAAAGAAAATTGAAGTACAGCTTTCTAAGCAAAATTGTATAGAACTTAGAGTACTCATAGCAATTTAGGTAGATGATACATATTTTAAAAATATTTTTAGATTCTGTTCTTTTCATTTTATTGGATATACTAATTTTAATATTTCAAAATAATTGTTTTCATTGAAAAATGCATTTTCTACAAATGAACTGAAAATCAAATCAGAGTAAGTAATCTTTGACTTTGCTTTACAAAATTAAAACTCAAAATCCACAGAGTTGAAAGAAACCAGAAACAAACAGGTTTCTAGTCTTCTGTTTCAATGAATTAAAATAACAAAAATTGTATTTGCAAATGTCCTACAGAGAAATTTAGAACCCTTCCTGTCTATAGCTGTGAGTTAGCAATGTTTTTAGCATCATAGTTTTATTGATATCAATAATATGCAAAAATTTTATGTCACATCTCTAAAACCTATCAATATTCATTAGGTAATTTAATCACAGTTAATATTATTTTTGTTCTTTACAGAGGAGGAACATGAAGCTTAAATCATTAAATAGCTTTTCTAAGGTGATAATAAATCTTTTTTGATTCCTGATTCCTTAAGCAATTTTCACAAAATTCTAATGAATGTACGATTTACTAAACTACACTTTATCAAAAGTCATCATTAAGTAACTATCATCTTTTATGGAAGGCAAAGAATTGGTACTGGGTTTGAAAAAAAAAGTAAATAAAATAAATTTCCACTTTTGATCAGCTCATAGTCAAGAAGGGCTACAAGATACATAAACGCCCTATTTTTATAATATGTAGTTACTGGTATTTGATTTAATCATGGATTTTACTATAATGAAATTTGTTTAGTAGTTTATTATAATATTATTTATGTTTGTGTAATGTGGGACTAATGTATGTAGTAAGGGCAATATGAGTAATTGGGACTTCATAATTCACTGTAGAAAAATTAATACCTAAAAAAGGAGATTTGATTGAAATTCATAATTATAGAAGAAGCATTTGCATTTTTACTTGTCTACACAGGATATGTAATGGAAGAAATATGCCATCGTAAGTGGCCAACTTAAACGGATATATTCGCTTGAGATAACAGAATGCACAGAGAAAAACTTAGACAACCTTTTGCAGAACTATACCAGCTTAAAATTTAAATTTACCTTTTAATGTGCATAGGTATGTCTGTGCATGATTATGGGTGTATGTGCACATGTATGTTTTAGATGTGCATATATTATCTGTATTGGGAGTAGGTAATTATATTTTACATTCCTTTTCCAAAAAAAAAAAACTACCAGGATTTTGACAAAAGTATAACTAAACCTTTTTGATATCTAATTATAATACTATACCAGTATACTCACAGAGAAATGGATATTTGCACTTTAACCAGGTTTTAGTTTTTAAGATTTTGAGAAAAAGGAAAAAAATAAAAACGCAATGTAAATGGCCTTTCAATATTATCATGAAGTTGTTTGGATAGTATATATGTTTCTCTGTAGTTACTAAACGTTTTTAAACATTGCAGAGCAGGGAAGATTTACATAGACTTTTAAATTAAAACCTATGACTGATTATCAAGTTGTTTTAAGAAATTGCATAGAATTCAGCATCAGACAGTTTCTCTATGATCAAACTAGAAGACAATCAAGGATTACTGAATACTGGATAAAGTCAAACCCATTCAGATGAATAATAAAAACATGATGCTGCAGAAGTGGAGAATGGACTGGAGAGATACATATTTTAATTTGAAGAGAGGGAGAGAGGGAGAGAGGGGGAGAGAGAGAGAGAGAGGATGAAACCTCCCTATGTTCCCAAAGCTACATACTTATCTCTATGTATTGAATGAAAAATATTTATAATGTAAGACATGACCTTCAGAACGATCCTTTGTGGGATGGAGTGCTCAATGAAGACAGCCACATTATGTTGATTCCTTATAAACTCCAGACCTTTCTGTCCCAATTGTCCTCTTGACAAAGCTGTGTCAAATGTTTTGGCTTATGATTTTCAGTACTAATGCATAAATTTGGTTTATTTATTCAGTCAGCATGTACAAAACACATCTATGTGATATTCAGTGAAGATTAAAGTTTGGTAAAACATGCCAATACTCAAAGAATGTATTCTCTACTGAAGGAAGGAGGCAGTGAATTAAACACTAAATTTTGGTTTTACATTTTTTTAAGAATTAAATTAAAATGTTAACAATTTAACAAAATGCAAGGATTTTAATAGATTTTGAAAAAAATGAATTTCTATTTATATACAGGGAGAGGGGGCATTCAAGATAGGGGAAATACCAAATTTATAAAGTTAGTAAAAAGTTGTAAGACCGTGTTTGCAGTGACCCTCAAGTCTTGTTAGATCATGGTGGTTTCGGAGACAGACTGCTCCCAGACTTTCTATCCCATAGAATTGTTGAGATTCTTAAATGTACTAATATCTGCAAAGTTCTTAGAAGACAGTTTGGCTCAAATAACAATTCAGTACATGTTAGTATATATGGTCAGATTATAGAACATGTACTGAAGTAAAATTAAAGGTTCTTCTGCAAATTTAGACAGGAACCAGATCATGAATTACTTAAACACTAAAGTAGGTATTTTGGAATTTATAGGACATTACTGATTATGTTAAAGATATATCCTGATTCTTATTTTACAAGCACTATTTTTATAGTAGTGAGAAAACAGATCACAAGGAAATGAAATAAAGAAAAAATACATAAAGCTGTATGCTATAAATTAGAAGAACTGAATAAATTTAAGAGTTAGTCAACATGAAAAATAGAAATTCTGGGACTTATTTAAGAGATGGGCATAACTTGGAGATTGAGGATATGCATAGTATAAGAGGATGGAGTTTAATTGTAGATATATGTTAAGGCTAATTATAGTGATCTCCAAACCACCCTCAAATATCTATCTGTAGTATGATTTTAAGAGATTGGTCTTAAATATATTTCTTAGGAATCTGTTTACTACACAAAATACAAATTAAAATAACATCTACTATCATAGAGAAGAGTGTAACTTTATATTAAGAAATTTAATCAAGTTTTCTAGATAATCAAATAATATATTAACAAAAAGGTAATTTAAATTTTCAAAAGAGACACATAGAAGGAATTTGTCATTGTGATTTCTCCATTACTGAAGGATGGATGTTTCAAGTAATTTAAATAAACTTTCCAGCCCATTTTTTGAAAGGTGTAAATGTACATGTCAGGGTTTCTTACTGCATGTCCATACATATTTATAAATACAATTATTTTATGTAATTTATTTTTTTTCCATGTGTTCCACTTTACATTGGATTATATTCTACACAGACATAGGCATTGTGTATGAGATCATACCTTTTCCCATAAACTTAAAGAAATCACTCTTGAAATTGTATCCATTTTCTTCTGGGTCTTTTGTATTTTCCTGTGCTTATCAGGTTTGCTGCGATAACAAAAATCTCAATCTCAGTAACTTCTTCAAAAGATTTGCTTCTTATGCCCCGTCTGCAGCAGCAGCTGTGCTCTTCCCACTGTGGTTTAGTCTGCTTAGCTTTGCTTGGATCTCATCCACGTGCCTTCTCATTTTGAGATCAGAGATGAAGGTGAAGTCTTTCTGTGGGACATATCCGATCTTGTGGTGAGGAGGAGTCAAATGGAGTCACACAGCATGCACACTTTTGACTGGCTTGTTTTTGCTCAACAAAGTGTTTTGAGGTGGACATATCATGTGCGTATCAACATTTTATTCATTTATATGCATGAGAAGTATTACACTTTACAAAATATATCCAAATTTGTTTTTCTATTTACCTGTTAATTGACATGTGAGCTGTTTCCAAATTTTTGTATTTAGGAATACAATTACTACGAATATTCATTTGAAACAATTTGTATAAACTAAATTTTAATTTCTCTTGGGCAAATACCTGGAAGTGAAACCAGCATTAACTTCTTTTTTTTTTTTTTTTTTTTGAGATGGAGTCTCGCTCTGTCACCAGGCTGGAGTGCAGTGGCGTGATCTAGGCTCACTGCAAGCTCCGCCTCGCAGGTTCACGCCATTCTCCTGCCTCCGCCTCCCGAGTAGCTGGGACTACAGGCGCCTGCCACCTCGCCAGGCTCATTTTTTGTATTTTTAGTAGAAACGGGGTTTCACTGTGTTAGCCAGGATGGTCTCGATCTGCTGACCTCATGGATCTGCCCACCTCGACCTCCCAAAGTGCTGGGATTACAGGCGTGAGCCACCACGCCCAGCTGCATTAACTTCATTTTTAAAAATTGCCAAATTGCTTGTCAACGTAGTTGAAATATTTTTCCCACCAGCCATATAAAATTGGTTGCTCCACATCCTTGGCAACTCTTGATATTTTTATTATTTACTTATAGTCATTATAAGGAGTATGCATTAGTATCCAGTAGCAGTTTAAATTTGCATTTATCTGATGACTAATGGGATTATGTATTTGTTAGCCATTCATAAACATTCTTTAGTGAAATGTCTGCTCAAATAGTTTGTCCATTTTGCTTTTATGTCTTATTTGTAATAATTTGTGTTTGATTTAAATAGTTCTGTATATAGTCTATATACCCATTTTTAACAGATACATGGAATATAAAATAACTTCCCAATTTGTGTATTATCTTTTTATTCTCTTAATGATGCCTATAGGGTGAAGACAATATATTGATTCATTTATTGTATCTTTATTTGTTCCTGCTTTAGCTCTTCTATTTAAGAAATCTTTACTTTCTCCCCAAATTATAGAAATTTTCTTCTATATTGTTTTCTAGGACTTTTATGTATAAGTTTGAATGGTTAAGTCTATGATCCACTTTAATCTTTGTTTATGGCATAAACTGAGTTTTTAGGTTCATTTTTTCCTCATATTGACATTTAGTACTTTCTATAAACTTCTTGAAATTAATGCCATTTCCCCATTGAATTACCTTAGCATATTTAGCAAACGAATTGATAAGAAAGAATGAATAAAAGAAATAAAATTTAAAGAGGGTCCAAGGAACTAAATAAAAGGAATACCACTGAAAGAGTTGAGCAGTCAGAAAGGTTCTTGGAGACAATAATGGAGAGATTAAATATTAATTGTTCAAAAATAAAGATGAACAGAAGGAAAACATATATAAATTAGGAAGATCACCATGAAGGAGATGAATTAAATTTTTTTCTTTTTAAATTTAGTTAGCATTTCTTGAAGTTGAACGTTGACTGATTAGCAAGAGTATCCCAGAAATTCCATGCTGTTTTTACTATAATTATTTATTATCAAAATTGAAATTTAAGAAATGGCATTTAAAATTTAGTGAATATTATTGCTAATTATAATGAGTGCCAAATTTGCCACACTGATGATTGTCATAGTCACCAGTTTTATCTTATTGGCTTAACTTTTCTTTTTTAATTGAATTATTTAATGTGATTCTAAAAGTACTATTTTGATGTCAAAACTTTCCAAACACATTACACATATCCTCAGTGCCTTGCACTGAAATATCATTTCCTATCTTCTTGACAAGAACTAACATAAGGAAGCCATGACACAGTGTGGGGACACTCACCAGAAGACAAAAGACAAGATCAAAATAAACAGCATCAAAGACAGAAGTCAGAGATGTGAGATAATCACAAAAAGTGAATGACATGGCCATGTGACAGGAGTTTGAGTAGATTCAGAAAGACTTCAAACTTCTTCTCTAGCTAAATATATGCCAAGCCCAGCTTTATATTTTTATACTCCTAGAGTATAATATCCCTGGGGATTCTTTAGAGGGAATATTTCTGACTAGGGTAACTTGTGGCTTGTCAGGTTCAAAGTTCTTCATAAAATACACCTGAGATCCTGTGGCACTTTACTGATTGTTAAAGCACAATCCACAGATCTGATATTATCTTAAAATTCAACCTGAAATTACAGTTTGATAGACTCTCATGAGAAAATAGTCAAAGTTTTCATCATGCTAAAATCCCTTTTACAGTTTTCTGAGACATAACCTTAAAAATGGAAATTGCCTTCTGAACTAATATCATGCTATCCAGATTAATAAAAAACGTCAACTGGCACCTGATAGCCTGACTCTACAAAGCCCTCCAAAAATAAATAATACCACCCTGAATCCCAAATGTAAAGTTCTTGTTATGTTTCAATGAAAGATGTAATCATCTGGCAGCATTATGGTTAATATGGAAAATTGACAAAAGTTTATAGAAAGAGTTCTTCATAAATATGTTCTGATGTCAGAGTAGTGTTTTGATTTGTTTCTCTTTCCTTCAGGGACTGGACGTGAAGTACATATTGACTCAACAATGAAGACGGACATTACTGAACTGTGACTGATGAAACAAACCTTTCACCTTCCCATTATTTAAATGGGTGAAAAGTTTCTCTCTCCTTAAAATGGCATTTACTATTTCTTAACTCTAGCATCTTAAGCCACTAGAGTGTTTCAGGATGCATCCGGAGAGCATGAGTTTTATGAATAGAAACATAACCTGAGCACTGTATTTAAAGGTCCATCAATGTTTCCATTACCCATATCAGATCTTTTCAATTTGTCATGTTAAATCACATGGTAATGTAGTGTGCTTGACATGCTCTCTTTCCACATGGAGTTCTGCTTTGTAAAAATAGGACAATGGAAAGCTGATGATTTGACACTTTTTAATACTCTCTAGGCATAGTGTTTGTGATTGCTGTTTCTTTTGGAGGCAAGAAGTAATAAAACAAAAGATAGAGAAAACTATTTTGTATGAAATCTTGGCAAAGAGATGTAGAGAAATTCAGGAAAGATAGGCTAAAGTAGACATATGTTTATTTTTCCTAGAAAATATAAATTGAAGGGATATGATCTAGTAATTCTCTTGAGGGTAGAATAACAAGGTTTGGTGGCAGTGTAATTTCAAGTTGAGGAAAAATTAAGCTTTGGTTTGTTTACATTTTCCCTATAAGTCTAAAATATTGGAGTAACTGTAGAGATTGCAAAAGCATGCCTACGTGGAATAAAAGTAAAGATAGATAATAAGCCTGCTCTCTTGAAAACATGCTAAAATAATTGTAAGCTGGATAAAGCCCATTAGTTATCTATGAGTGCACGACAAAAAACTCTGGGGGCTGTAACATAATTATATGAATTTACTTTTAATGTAAAAATTAGAGCCAGAAGGCCACAAAGTTAATTTTATATACATATATATAATACATATATATACATACATGTATATACATACACGCATTTATATACATATACACATACATGTATTTATATACATATACACACATGTATTTATATACATATACATGTATTTATATACATATACACATACATGTATTTATATACATATACACATATATGTATTTATATACATATACACATATATGTATTTATATACATATACACATATATGTATTTATATACATATATACATATATATGTCTTAGCAACGTCAGTTATTTAA
The DNA here is from genome assembly GCF_000001405.40 of Homo sapiens. NCBI lineage: Eukaryota > Metazoa > Chordata > Mammalia > Primates > Hominidae > Homo > Homo sapiens. The sequence continues at coordinate 49,029 of NW_003315920.1, forward strand.
TAATGTAAAAAGTCACTGAATAATAACACATTTTCACAAAGCGACTAATTTCAGTTACTTGTTATTGTATGTGCCAGGTTCTATATTATAACAGGTTTTATATAGAGAAAAAATAAATTTAAACTAAAAATAAACCAATCTAATTGTTTTTAACATTACATACTCTATTTACATTCCAACACTATTGTATAGTTTCTGTTTAGGTACCACAAATGTACACACATGCACACACACATATATGTATATGGCCCACATGCAGAGAAGCATGAAAACTTATCTCATTCCATGCATTTACTAGAATAGTAGTCAATCTGGCTTTTGCCTTCACAAGTCAATGAGCTTTGGCCTTGTAATGGTAGCAAGCCTCAACAGATAACATTAGAACATTATCAAATGCGTTTTAAATCTAAATCAGTATCTTCTTAAAACAGTCCATTGCTTTCTTTTTTTTAATTTATTTTTTATTTTTGTGTGTGTGTGGTAGGGAGGGGACAGAGTCTGGCTCTGTTGCCCAGGCTGAAGTTCAGTGGCATGATCTAGGCCCATTGCAAGCTCTACCTCCTGGGTTCAAGCAATTCTCCTTGCCTCATCCTCCCGAGTAGCTGGGATTACAAGCACCTATCACCACACCCAGCTAGTTTTTGTATTTTTAATAGAGACAGAGTTTTGCCATGTTGGCCAAGGGTCTTGAACTCCTGACCTCAAGTGATCCACCTGCTTCAGCCTCCCAAAGTGCTGGGATTACAGGCGTGAGCCACTGTGCCCAGTGTTAAAACAGTCCATTGCTTTCTGTTCTTTCCAGGATCCCTCACACAAGTGTCTGCCAATTCCCACTCTGTCCCACTTTCAGAGTGGTTATTCTCTGGCTTTCTTTTAAATAATGGTACTCTCATGTATTCTGTCCTGGACTCACTCTTGGCCAAATCTGATGCACATTCTCTGTGTTGTTTTTTTTTTTTTTTTCCATTGGTTTCAACTACCAACTGCATGGAGAGGACTCTCAACTCAAAATCTTCTATTGGCAAGTCCAAATGCCATTATCTCAAAATAGGCATATTGAAGATCGCACACAGACATCCATATCATCTGGATTATCAGTCCCAGGATTCCTCTTTAATTTTCATAGTGACAAGCTGCTCCACATTGGATTCTGGATTCTTCCCTATCTCAGGAATCTTTCAAAATTCCTCTTTTATGTTTTTAACTTTGCCTTTTTATGTTATGTATTGGCTTCCTTCCCATTCATTTTCCATTTGGTTGAAAAACATTTAAACAGGTTAAATTCTATCAATAATATGTTATTTATAAAATTATTCTTGTTCTACTGTGAATTATGATTTTACATTTTGAGCATATATTAATGCCTAGAAGTCCCTCATTATTTTACATTCTTGTTGAAATATTAGTGGTTTTGTTTTTTGTATTTTCCATTTTATAAATTATCTAATTTCTTCTCATTTATACATTATCGAATTTCTTCTCATTTTATGCTATATTTCCCCAAAACCAGCTCATTAAAACAAACACGAAACTCCTAGTCTAAGTATGTTACTAAATGAGTTTTAAAAAATTAATAATTACTAACAAATCCATCACCTCAAATACTTATTTTTATAGTGTACCCCACAAATATATACAATTATTATTTATGAATTAAAATAGAAATGTAAGTAAAACATTATTAATCTCTTTCTAATGTTTTATGATTAAAATTTTTTATTTTTATTTAATTTTACACTTACAGAAAAATTACAAGAATTTGTAATTTTTACAAATTACAAAAATTACAAAAATTTACAAATTCTTGTAATTTTTCTGTATACCTTTCCCCCACTTCTTGCATATGCAAAGTATTTTACCATTTTTTAATATCTCTCAAACTCTTATTTTTTCTGTTTCTCTATTCCTTTCTCTCTGTCTCTCTCCCCCTCTGTCATTTTTATGTCCTCTACGTATCTTCCCTTCTCTCTCTTTTTTTCTTCTCTAGAATCATTTGGCAGTGAGTTGCAGATAGGAGGATGCTATCTTCTGGAATGTCCATTCAATTAGGTCTTTCTAATCATCCCTCATGATTTAATTTAAGTCACATAATATTTGCAGGAACATCACAGAGTTGATGCTGTGTTCTTTGCGGTGCCTTAGATCAGCTGGCACGTGGTATTGACGTGTCTCATTAGCTGTGATTTTAACCATGATCACTCGCTAGAAAAGTGTCTGCCAGCTTTCTCCACTGTAAATTACTGTCTTTTCTTTTGTAGTTACTAAGATGTTTGTAAGGAGCTATTCTGTACTGATTTATAAGATTCTTCTTTTTATTGACCTGTCAGTGTGATGAAGTATGTGATTTTTTCTATGGTTTGTTTGTTGTTTGTGTGGAGGGTAGCAAGGAGGAATAGTTGTGTGTTCTTCCTTATTTTCTTTTGTCTTGCAGGAATCTAAATTTCCATGTTCTTATTTCTTCTATTATGTACTTTCCCAAAAGCAACTTTTTATTTATTTACTTATTTTTTCTGAGACGGAATCTCGCTCTGTTGCCCAGGCTGGAGTGCAGGGGCGCAATCTCGGCTCATTGCAACCTCTGTCTCCCAGGTTCAAGCAATTCTCCTGCCTCAGCTTCCTGAGTAGCTAGGATTACAGGTGTGTGCTACCATGCTCAGCTAATTTTTGTATTTTTAGACAGGGTTTCACCATGTTAGCCATGCTGGTTTTGAACTCCTGACCTCATGATCCGCCTGCCTTGGCCTCCCAAAGTGCTGGGATTACAGGTGTGAGCCACTGTGCCTAGCTCAAGGCAATTTTTTAAATACACTTCCCTCTGACGCATTATTTCTGATGGTTTAGAAGCTGTGAAGCATAGTTTCTTCCAATAGTGTCTATATGTCTCTTTAAAATTTATATTTTGCTATATTTTCTAGAAGTTTAAAATGTCTCAGAATCTCTACCCTGTTCTTTATATATCTTAGTATACTTTAGCACCAAAAAACCCTGAGCTCTGTACATATTTCTTTTTATAGAGTCCACATTGTTCATTTGTTTTTAAAATTACAAAGAAAATTTGTTAATGTTTTTAAAGTCCGTGACTTATTATACGCATTAATGAATTGATTTGCCCATTATTGTTCTTTACACTTGCTTGCATATTCTGCCTAATGAAATAAATTAATAATATTTTTGGTGAGTGTATGACTGTGGATAGCTATGCTCTCTGTGTCTCTGTAAATGTGAGAATGTTTTTATTTTGCCGACAGTGAATCCAACTTCTGATTCTTATATTTCTTCATGTAATTCTGGTTTAAAGTTTTATCTTGTGTGCATTTCTGTATATGTTTTTAGTCTCTTTTATCTTGTCGTCTTTTCCCAACTCTTGTCTGATATCCTGAGGATTCTATTCACTGGGAGCCCAAAGGCCGTATCGTTGAGTCAGCGCCTGACGTCACAAATCCAATCACTCTGCCCGTGTGTGCTTACTCAATTCCTGTTTTGAAGACTTTGTCTCTGCCTTTTATCTTCCTTAGGCAATACACTTCAACGGAGCTATGTCCTCAGGTAGCAGAGGAAAACAGTGTTGTCAGATTCTACATGAACGAGACAACCATCTGTTCCTGTGTTTACCTTAGCTGAAGTTTCACGTTTTCCACGGAGCAAACTTAGTCTCAGACTCTTGAACAGGAAACAACTCACCTTCCTTGCTTTCTTCCAGACCCAGAACCAAAAGATTCACTGTCTCAGTCCTTTCTTACCCATTGCACATCAGGCCTTTTTCCAGTCCCATAAATATATATACATAATATATATATACATAAATATATATCCATATGTTCATCTTGCTTTTAATTATGTTTTACAAGCTGTATATCTACAGAACAAGTATGTGCTTCGAATCAGATATCCATAGGTTTTCTTAAGGGTTTTTATACATTGACTTCTAAATTTTTTCAAAAAACTAGAAACATTTTTTCCCAAAAGAAATTCAGATAGGCATGTACACACACACCTACACATGCACACACACATACACATTTTTGTATAACATATGCAAATTTACATAAAATAATCACAGAAAAAAATAACCAAAACAAATTATAACTCATCTAGCTACTACCAATCTAGTAATTATGGATGAATACTTGGCTCTCAGTCCAGGGTCATAAGTAAAGGATATACACAAGCTAATAACGATAGGAGGTGAATAATAATTCATGTCATAAATTTGGATATGTATGTGTGATCTGAAAGAACAAAATAGACATAACTTTATCAACTAAAATGGACCCCAAGGTTAAGGAAAAAAAGTTTGCTATGAGTTGACGGTTCAGGAATTGGCTGGCATGGCAAAGCTCTAAATTCCTTTGGCTGTAAGAAAAATCTCATTCTTGCTAAACTCTGTAAGAAAAAGAGCTTTCAAGCAAATGTAAAGACACCTCTTAACACTGATTTACAACCCAGACCACTACAACTCTGACTGGACAGAGGAAGGGCTTTACAAATATTCTTTCCTAATAAGGAACTGCAGACTTTAAGTCAGTTTCAGCCAGCTTATATAGACTGCACACGAACTGTCTTTGTGTCCTATTGTTCACCTTTTGACCTAAAGAGCCAAATTCTACCTAATTTTAATGTTGAAATCTTACCCCAAAGTGAGCATGGGTTGTATATTACATATACATTTAACCCACTGCTCATGTGCTCAACTATCTCATAAATATCTATAAATTTCTCCCCAAACTTGGTGAATATGTATGACTCTGTTGTGTGAAACAGACCCTGTGAGGCATAAAACTACCTGCCTTTCCCCTTTTCTGAGAGAGAGCACCTTTGGCACACACCAGAGATTGTTGTCTCTTCCCATTTTGCAAACCAACATCACCAATAAAGCTCTCCATTTTACTATTAATACTTAACCATCCTGGTGATCTTTTGGACAACGTATGTATTTCCCTTTTGTTCTTGCATTTTAATTATTTTACAATGTGCTAGAGGAGATGTATGAATTAATTAGAAATATTATAGAAAATATCATAAAAGAACTTTTTGATTTCTTCAGTTGTATAAGAACAAAACCATTTCAGAGTCCTTCTACTTGTTCAACTTAGTACTAAATTTTTTTTGCTTTTGGTAGCCTATAAAAATTGTTCCACTGTCTTTTAACTTATACTGCAGCAAAATCATCCATCCACATTCTCATTTGTTAGACAGGTATTTATTAAACAAATGCTATAAACCAGGCACTGGTGATACAATACCTGACACAACAGACAATATTGCTGCCACCATAGTACTTATACTCTAATGGAGGAGAAAAAAATAAAACAACACAGAAGTACAGACACACTACACACACATAAAACAATATCAGATTGGAATCAATTTTATGAAGCAAAGTAAGCAGGGTATGGAAATAACGAATGATACAGGAACATCATTTTACCATAGAGTTTTCCGGCAACTCTCAGATAGACATTTACAGAGAGCAAGAAAATAAAGTAGAGAAGAAATCATGGAGCCATTTTTTGGAATAGTCTTCCAGGTGTAGAGAAAAGCAAAAGCAATTGCTTAGAGGAAAGAGCAGTATTGATGTGCTGCAGACACCATGGGAAGGCCACAGGCTTGCATGGAGTGAGTGACGAGGCCAGTGACAGAAGATGTTCAAAGTGGGTGGAGAGGCCAGATCATGTCAAGAAATATAAACCAAAGTAGGATATTTATATCTTAACATGAGTGACAAAGAGTCCATGGAGTTTTGAACAGAAAAGTACCATGGTCTGACATAATTTTTACAAGATGACTGTATCTGTCCTAGAGTGGCAAGGCAGGAAATAAGAAAAATATATTGGAATCTAAATATGGTAGTTTTGACAAGGGCAGAAGTATAAAATAAGTGGTCAGATTTCATCTGCATTTCAAAAGCAGAGATGACCCTATCAGCTCAGCCAAACATTTTTTTGAAAGACAGGAGTAAATAATGGCTCTAAATAATTTGTAATGAATAAGCCACAAAAATGTAGTTGACATTACCCAGAAAAGAAAAAAATTAGGACCCAGAAGGATAAGTGGGTGATAGAGGAAGTAAGGCTTAAATTTGGACACAGTAAGTTGAATAATTTTTTTAGGTTTGCAAATGGAAATGGTGAGTGAGCAGTAGATGCGTGTGTCTAGGGTTCCGAGAGAGGGGAAGAGACGGAAGATGTAAATTAGAGTCTCAACAGAAAAGGGATAAAGTCATGGCACAGGATGGGACGACATAAAGAATGACCCAAGTGAAAGGCATATTGAGAGGAATGACACATTCGGGAAGCCAGTGCCTGAGGATTAGGAAGATAATGCTGAATAAACAAAGGGAACAAGAAAGGCCGTTCTGTCAATTTGGGTAGACTCTGAAAACAGGGTTGGACTTCACGTGTGTTTCGTTTGGAATGGGATCCGTGGAAACTTTAACAGGGAAGTGAGGAAATGAGAAAGTGAAGCAAAACAAGTTCCTAGAGAGATATTCTGAAGAAAGGTGCCATTGGAAGACAGTTTAAGACATGTACCGCATGTCTTTAGTTCCCTTACACCTTAGGTTATCCCACCCAAGGTGTAAAGGAACTAAAAAATATGTTCATCAACTACAGTCCTTTATTGATTAAAAGCACCGTGATAGTCAGGCGTGGTGGCGGGTGCCTGTAGTCCCAGCTATTCAGGAGGCTGAGGCAGGAGAATCGCTTGAACCTGGGAGGCGGAGGTTGCCGTGAGCTGAGATCACATCATTGCACTCCAGCCTGGGCAACAGGGCGAGACCCTGTCTCAAAAAAAAAAAAGCACCACCACAAGAAAGTTCTTAATGCTTCTACATTGAGGGCACGCACATTAACATTCCTCAACGGAACAAATTTTATTAAATAATATTAGTCTCACAAAATTGATCAGTAAGAGCAACGTCATCCTTCTCAAATGTTAACAACTGTAATTTGTTTTAGGATCCCGATGAAGTTACTTGAAATATATATGAAAGAGTAAATAGCTATATATTTTATCACAAATTCATCCTTCAAATTATATATGCTATTAACTGTATATTTATATATACTATGCTACCTTATCTAGTATACACTAATACACAATAGATGCAAACTATATTAGGCTAATAACTATAAAGGGAATTCCTTACATTCCAAACATTTTTGTGTGTGCGTTTTTATGAAGATACTATATTATGAAGCTTCTCATAGTCGAATTGGTAACCATAATTCTCGCCATAATTCTATATTTAAGAAAATAATAGGCATATTTGTAAGCAGATTTTCTTTTAAAGCCAGGTGTTACTTTACAACAATTATTCAGAATAATTATGCTTTAGTAACTTATGTATTGAACTTTTTGAGATTCTAGGATATTTTAGAAAAAAATTACTATTGATTATCTCTAAAACTTTATTTGTATTATTGTTCTAGAAATAACAGCTTTCATTGTTTTGGATTATCTCTCAACCTCAGAATAAACTTAAAAATCTGAACATAAATGTGGAAGAAAATCAAGTTAGAGAAGGACAGCAGAGCTTTTATCTATGAAAGAAATGCCAGAGGCTTTAAGATTAAAATTATTAAGATCCACTTTGCCACAGGTTTTGCTGATTATGAAATAAGAGGAGTTGTTGAGAACTAACCAAGCAAGAATTCTGACGATTATTTTCATGTGATAAAATCATCTAAATCACAAATGCAGAAAGCAATATAAACCTAAAGCAAAGCTTTTTTAAAAAAGTAAAGTAAAAAACCATCTAGGCATATCAAATGTTAAAATGCTGGAAAAAAGAGACAAAAAATATTTAATTCATAAAAAAGTGATATCATAATGCAAAAAAGCAACTTCACAGATAGCTTATTTATTACAGAGTATATAAAAATTTTATATAAAAGAAGACAAGGAGGCAATATATTTAAACTGTTGAGCTAAATTGACTGCCAGCTGAGAAGTCTGTTCACAGGAAAAATATACATTAAAAATGAAGACAACATAAAGATAAATTAGGATAAATAATAACATAATTTGTCAGAGTAGAGCTAAAAAAATGGGAATATTCAGACTGATAAAATGTATCCCAGGTAGAAAAATGAAAACTCAGATAGGTAAAAAGAACAATATAAAAGATAAATATGTTTATATATGTAAATAGACATTGATGTAGTAAACATAATTAAAATACATTGTTAAGTTTAAAATGCATACAACATAAAAATATATGACCATGACTGTAATATGGCATGTTGAGTGTAAAAGATGGAAAAAGAACTGCCTGATAAGCTGTTAAAGCACAGATTAATTTTAGACTTTATTAAGTCAGGCTTACATTCTACAATCTCTAGGATAGCACCCTCCCCCAATAATTAAACAAATAGTAATAGGGAAAATAAAATGATAAAGGTACTCTAATAATCTAATAAAAGATCAAGAAATGAAGAAAGCACAACATACAAACCATGATTGGGTCGAATAGACAGAAAAGTAGTTTAAAGGCAAATAAATTAGTCATTTTATAGTTATTAGACATTTAGATCATATTACCAGAACACAGCAAAATCAAGCTAAGAATAAATAATACAAAGACAATTTGTGTATATTCAAACATTTGGATATTAAGCAATGCACAACTACAAAAGTATATTGATAGAACTTATAGGATATATTTTAAAGATGTAAATTCTCTTCAAACTGTTGAAACAATAAAATATCAATAAAATAGTTTTCGTTTTTGTGTAAATCATCAGGCTGATTTTAAATATAATGAAATGCAAAGAACTAAGATTAATCAACACAATACTGAAGAAGAAAAATGCAGGTGTTTACTCTATCAAATACCAAGGATATTATAAACTACAATATTTGACACAGTGGGGTATCAGCAAAAGAATAGAACATTTCAGGATAGAGCCAGCAAAAAAAAAATTTTTTTTAAGTCTACATGTGTGCAGACATTTGATTTATTATGAAGATAACTTTGAAAGACAGCAGGGGAAAAGAAGGTTGTTGCAAAACCTAGTGTACCCAAAGATATGTATACTATTCCTTAATTTTTTTGGAATTAATTCCAGAAGGAAAAAGCTATATGCATCTCAACATTGGAAGGGATAAAACGCTTGAACTATAAACCATGTAATACATTGTATATAGTGATAACTATAATACATCACAGTAATAATACATACTGTGATGGTTAGTATTATATATTAACTTTACTGAACCACCAGATGCCCAGATATTTGGTCAAAGATTATTCTGGGTGTTTCTGTGAGGGTACTTTGTTTGAGATTCACATTTAAATTATAAAATGGATTAAGTAAAGCAGATTGCCCTTCCTAATATGAGTAGGCCACATCCAATCATTTGTACATCAGAATAGAACAAAGGCCTGACTCTCCCCCAAATAGAGAGACTGTTTTCTGCCTGATGCCCTTTTGAAGCATTAATTTTCTTTGCCTTCGGACCCAAATTTAAACATTCGCTCCTCCTGGATCTTGAACTATGTGGCCTTTCACTGAAATTACACCATTGGCTCTTCAGTTTACCCACTCAACCTGTATATCTCAGGATTTTCTAGCCTCCATAATTATTGTGTAAGCCAACTCCTTATAACAAATCCCTTTTAAAATATATGTATATATACACACACACATAAAGACACACAGAGTATGCACACAGAGTATATATATATGTATGTGTGTATATATCTCTCTACATATACACATATATAAAATCTCTGCAGAACCCCAACTAATAGGCATACCAATGACATTTTAAAATATTGAAATAAGATATATATATGCCATTATGTGTGTATATATATTTAGAATATACATATATATATTTAGAGAGAGATTGGTGCATATCATATTATATATATGTATTTCATGCACCAATCTTTCTAAATATTACCCATATATATATATATATATATATATCTCTATCTCATGCACCAATCTCATAATTATGTTGTACAAAAAAGCCAGAATGAAAATAAGACATTTAGTATGGTTCTATTTGTATTATGTTAAAAACTTAGGAAAAAAATCTGTAAGGTTGGAACTCAGTATTGTTGTTACTTCTGGGAAGGGGAGCCTGTTATGGTTTGGAGGAACCAGGCATTATGAGCTTTTCCTATCCTACATCTTAACAAGAGTGCCCACCCCAAGTGTGTGTTTTCTTTTTTTTTTGGGAAAGAGTCTCACTCTGTCACCGAGGCTGGAATGCAGTGGCACGATCTCAGCTCACTGCAAGTTCCATCTCCCAGGTTCAGCCATTCTCCTGCCTCAGCGTCCCTAATAGCTAGGACTACAGGCGCCCACCACCACGCCTGGCTAATTTTTTGTATTTTTAGTAGAGATGGGGTTTCACTGTGTTAGCCAGGATGGTCTCGATCTCCTGACCTCGTGATCTGCCCGCCTCAGCCTCCCAAAGTGCTGGGATTACAGGCGTGAGCCACCACACCCGGTCAAGTGTGTGTTTTCTTATGGTAATTAATTGAGCTGTACAATTAGAATTTGTGCATTTTTCTCTGATTTTATACAAAAATAAGAACTTATAAAATTTAGGGACTGAAATTTTAGTTTGTAAATGTCTATTATCTGTGTATGTTTTGAAGAGCTATCATTTTTTATTTAATCACAGGTTGACAAATTATTAACAAAAAATTAGCCATCAAAAGTGCTAAGGGATACTTCCCGATTATATTTTCTGTTTATCAGATAGCTAATGAGAATCTTAAATTTTTATTATGAATCTTTGCTTTTTTATAAAGCAAACATTGTAAATTTAAATGATCTTCATAAATAAACTTCATAGATGTGAAATAATATTTTAGTATTAATAATAATGGCTTCAGAGTTAGAGATTGTTGAAGTATATCGAACTGTTTGCTTTCATCTATTAAGGCCTCAAGTCACTGCTACCACGAAGGTAAGGTAATGAGAAGTACATTCATGTATAATAAGAAAACTTGATTGCATATTGGAAAGCTATATGAATATCAGAGAACCTCGCTGAACCTCAGGAACTTTTTTCTAGATTTTAGCTGGAAGTAATATATTATTGCATTCATTCATTACATAATTATTCATTAAAAACTTACTATTAACCATAAAGTCCACCTGACTGTTAGCATTTTTTCTAGGTGCCTATTCATAGCTCAGCTTTCCATTTAAAATCAAAACAAAACAAAAAATAGCTTTGAAGGAAAACTGAAGAATCTTTACTTACTCTTGTGAAAACTTAGGCTCAAATATTAGGCAGATTTCTTAAAGACAGGTATTTCTTGATAGTGACACCAAAACAAACACAATCTATATATGAAAATTAAACCCAAAGTAAGCAGAAGAGAAAGAATTAAGAGGATTACAGTGGCAATCAATAACATAGAGATCAGGAACAAACTACAAAAATCAACAAAGCCAAAAGTTGGTCAATTCTTTGAAAAACTCAATAAAATTCAGAAAAAAACTTAGCTGAACTACTCAATAAATAAGAAATAACCAAATTATCAAAGTCAGGAAAGAAAGTAAATATATTACTGCAGAGCTTATGTAAATATAAAAAGAATTGTAATGTAATACTACAAATAACTGCATGCCAACAAGTTATATAAGTTTGATGAAATGGACAAATTCCTAAAAGGCACAAACTACTCAAACTGACTCAACAAGAAACTGAAAATCAGAGTAGAGCTTTAACAAGTAATGAGGTTGAATTAATAATCAAAAACGTTACACAAAGAAAATCCCAAACCAAATGGTTTCCCTGATGAATTCTACTAAACTACTGAAGAATAATTAATACAAATTCTTTACAAAACCCTCCAAAATACAGAAAAGACATCACAGGAAAACTACAGACTGATAACATTAGCGAATCACATGTAACAGTGCATTAAATGATTATATATTACAACCAAGTGGGCACTTTTCCAGGCCTACAAGGCAGATTCAACATTTGAAAATCAATAAATACAATCTACCTTGTCAACTGAGTAAAAAGAAAATAAATCTTATAATCATTTTACTTTAATCATTGCTGGGCATGGTGGCATGTGCTTATAGTCCCAGCTACTTGGAAGGCTGAGGCAGGAGTGCAGGTGTTGGAGACCAGCCTGGGCAACATAGTGAGTCAGATCCACCTCTTATTAATAATAATAATAATTAACAAACATTATTAATGCAGAAGAAAAACATTTGAAAAAATCCCAGAGTTATTTATGGTAAATAAAAAAACCTATAAATACTTTGTTGGGGAAATTTTATTACCTTGATAAAGAAAACCCTAACCTACATAATATTTAATCATGAGAAATGGGAATCTTTTCCTCTAAGATCAAGACCAAAGCCTGCATGTCCTCTCTTATTACTATTTAACATTGTACAGAGAGTTCTAGCCTTAACCTCACATAAAAGAAGGGGATAAGGCAACTCTCTTAGGGCCTCTTCTATGAGGGCATTAATTCCATTAGGTGGGCTCCAGCCTCATGACCTCATCATTTTCCAAGGCCCCACTTTCTAATACCTTCACACGTGGGAGATTAGGGTTTCAGTGTATGAATTTTGAGAGGACACAAAGGTTCGGTTTGTGGCACATTGTAACCAAAACTATAAGCTAAATATCCATGAGCTTATAATGATAAGATGAATGAATGAATGGACAAATTCATGAATGAATAAGTAGATAGATGACGCATAGACAGATAGCTAACAAATCTCCCATGTGTAAGAATTTCAACTAATATATGCACACATTCCACCCTCAGAAAGATGAAGCATAACCACCATCTCCTTAAAAGTGGGTTGTACATAGTGACTTTCTTCCAAAAGTATAACATACAAAAGAGAAAAATAGAATAACCTGACAGTGGAGAAACTTACAAACACTGTCTCAGTTATTAATCAAGGTCAACATGAACAACCATAATGCATGTTGATAATAAATACTCCTATGATATGATAAAAATGAAACTTTACCACTTTTACCTCTCAAAAACCCATAACCTCAATCTAATTATGAGAAAAACACCAGATGAATTCCAAAAGAGAGATACTCTATAAAATATATGACCATCACTTCACAAAAATGTCAATGGCATCAAAAATATGAATGTCTAAGAAACTGTCACTCTATAGAGCAGCCTCATGAGACATGACAATTAAATGTAATGTGGTATCTTGGATGGAATCCCGGGACAGAAGGAGGACATTAGGTAAAAACTAAACAAATCTTCATAAAGTACAGACTTTATTTTAAAGCAATGTGACAATGAAAGTTCATGACTTGTAACAAATGTACCATCTTAATGTAAGATGTTAATAATAAGAGAAAATGGGCATAAGGGGCATGATAACTCAATGTACCATCTTTGTGATTTTTTCTGTAAATTTCTAAAATTATTTTTTAAATTAAAAGAATAATTGCTTCAAAGTGCTGACAAATATTTATAAATGCCTGTGAAGGGGAATTAAAATATTTATATAATTTATTTCTCATCGTTCAGACTTTTCTAACAAATAGAGAAACAATCACAGTTTCTTAGAAGCAGACCAAGTTCCAAAAGCAATGCTTCATATGTAGCAGGCAGAAACATTGTTCAGGAAGAGAGAGAGGAAGGAAAGCCAGAAAGGAAGATGTAAGGGAGGGAGGTGAAAGAGGAGGTAGGAAGGACAGAAGAAAGGGAGGAAGAGAGATCATTGTATTAATGCCTTTTTTTTTTTTTTACTATATATATGGTAATAAAGTATGTACATATATACTTTATTTTATATATACTCTATTAAAGTATATATACCTACATTGTATATATACTACATTTCATTAATACCATTTTCTTACCCAATCTATCATTTAATTGGAAGATGAGACTTCTACATTGAGACAATTGGGAATAAAAATAGTGTGGCTTATTATAAACTTCTTGCTAGTAATATGCAGTCATTAGCCTGCCCAATTTTCCTATGAGTCTGTTCATTCTACCTGCAACCACCACCTCCCACCAACAGGCTATTTGTGAAATATGAGGGTCTGGATTTACCAAAAATTTTCATATAATGTCCTTACTCCAAAAGCTTCATTCAAATAAAATATGTATATAGAATGTCTAATATCCATAAATCTTTACTTTCTAAAAATTGTTCTTGAGTTATACTAGACTACCAAGCAAATTTTTGTATTTTGGCTGAGAAAGTGCTTTTACTGAAAACATCCAGGCGTTATCTTTCCACCTAAACACTATGATCTTAAGAACAACCATATGTATTTTTAATTACTCAAGAGATAAAATAGATGATCAAGTTATCTATATTACTCAATATTTGTTTTATTATGACAAATAAGAGCAAATTCTCTCAGGTCTGAGTACCAGGAAGCATTATACAAAGCATCACATTATTTTTTAAAGAGTCATCCCAAGAAGCAAAAGCATAAACCCCTGATAAACCCATCAGATCTCGTGAGACTTTTTCACGTCACAAGAATAGCACGGAAAAGACTGGCTCCCATGATTCAATTACCTCCCCCTAGGTTCCTCCCACAACACATGGGAATGCTGGGAGATACAATTCAAGTTGAGATTTAGGTGGGGACACAGCCAAACCATATCATCCACCATCAACACTTTTAAAATACAACTGTCCCACTAACTACCAATTTCTACATACCAATGTGGCGTTTTACTTTACCCTGTTTTTCACCTAATGGATCCAAAAACAGTCACTGATTTTTCATTTGTACAGCTTTTTTTGTAAGAATGGAAGTTATGACTTCCAAGCTATTTACATGTTGGAGCTGAAAATGGAAGTATAAACAATTCTTTTTACATAAATACTTCTATATAAGCTAAGCCTTTTAAAATTAAAAATGACTCTTAGCCCTTCAACTCATTTTTAATATCAGGTCACATGCATCCAGAAAAGATACAAAACTTTCCCCAAAATATACAGCTAATTAGTAGCAAAACACAATTAAATCCAGCCTCCAGATTCAAAGTTTAGTGCTCTCGTTATTGTTTACAACAAATTACCTGCAATTAACAATCTTACATGGAAGGTGTGTGTACTTCAGTCTCACCACAAGTAACAACCACTCTCTCTAATTGCAGTAATTTAGTGTATGTTTCCAAGACTCCTTTTCAGCTGTTTATAAAACACATTCATTTGTTCTAGAATAACGTTAGGTCAATACACTAAGTATAAACTTTATACTTATTTTCCTTTTTATATGTTTTATATTATCTTTACTCAGAAAAATCTAACCAGAGAAATCTACAGCTATTTAGAAGCTCAAGATTGGGAATATCATTTGTGAGCCTTGATACTGAGGAAAAATATAAATGGAGTATTGATACTATATACTAACCTAGCATTATGGGGTCTCCCACTTTAGGGTACTATAGCAACATCCATTTCCCTGGTTCAAAAACACCATGCACTCAATTTTATGGTATATCCATACACACACATACAAACAAAACACACATGTATGATTTCTTACAAACAAGATTTTAGTCATAAAATATACTATTTTAGAAATATTTACAATTTTAATGTAAACATAGGCATTGCATATATTCATATATTTCACTGTAAAAATAAAACTTGCTTTAATTCTTAACTATATTGCTTGATGTCACATATCAGACTTTTATAGAAGGAAAATGTACTTGTCAATTACTAATCATAAAAAAATGGTAAAAATATTCAATTAAAATTCTTTGTTTATAATTGTGCATTTTATTATAAAAGAAATATTAACTTTTAATATAAATAATGTATAACTGTGAGAAAAATATCCAACTCATGACGACAGTCACAGTTTTGACTTTATATTTCTACCATAGGTGGTGAACTACTGGCAGTAATTACCTCTGCTTGATTAGTCCTAGTATGTTTTATGCCTTTTCTAATTTCAACCCTTCTTTTCTTTCCAGTTTTATCATCATAGACTTTTACTTTTGTCTCTTGGTCCATTTGCCTTCTCTAAGGCTCATTAAGGTTTTGCTAAAATTTCTTTAGTATTCTTAACATGTGTCTTCACCTCCATCTTAATTTCTGGTGATTTGAACAACTTTGTTAATAATCCTTCAAATAGTAAGTAATCTCAAGTCCTTGACGGTTTCTCCTGTGATAAATCTGTTTTCCATATTCCACTGGCCAATCACAATCAATTGGTCTCACTACAGATAACTATAACTGCTCTATTGACTCAATATTAATTATTACACAAGCTATCACTTCTTATGTTTCATGTCATGCATCCCATATTCCAAAATCATTTAACTTCTCTGGAATGGAATTGTCAGATGCAGAAAAAATAAAACAACAACAAAACCAAAAACAAAACCACCAGGTAAATTTGAATTTCAAATAGACATCAGATATTTTTAGTATAAGTATACCCCATGCAATATTTGGGGCATATTTATTTTAAATGCCATTGTTTATCTGAAATTCAGATTTAACTAGGCATCTCATATTTTATCTGGCAACTTTACTCCAGAATCAAGAATCTTATTAATCTACCAATTTTTCACAGTCCAAATTACTGCATATCTCCCTGTCTATTAACAAATTAACTTCCATGGCCTGTCATAGACTCAGTCTCAGAAAAACATTCAGTTAAAGATAAAGTTTGGATTCATTACCACCACCCTTAAGTGAGCCCTGGATGCTTCACAGATACATTTCCCTGATCTAATCACGTTTACATTTTCAAAACCTCTTCTCCCATCTTCATTATCAACTAGAGATCTTGCCTATTTCATTGAGAAAACAAGAGAAATCAGAAGAAAACTTCTACAAAGTTATCTCATTTAATATACTCACCTACCTGCACCTGTGCTATATACTCCCCTTCTTTCTGTAGCTAGACTGTCCAGAATTCCAAAAATAGCCAATTTCTCCACATTTACTCTGTAACTCCTCTCTTCTGGTGCTGAGAGTATATTGCTCTGGGAATTGTACTTTCTCGCTTGATCATCTCCCACCCCCTTGTCTATTGAATAATTTCTATCAGCACACAACATGGTTTTGTTTGTTTGATCAAAAACAAACGCTACAAAACTCTCCCTCTTTCTTCCCCACACCACATTCCCCACTAGGTTTATTAGCCCCCCTTTTTTATAGCAGAAGTCCTATCAATGTTGTTTATATTTGTTGTATTCACTGTTTCCCTTTCTCTTCTCTTAAACTCATTTCAGGCTAGCTTCTTTCCAAATCACTACTCTGAAACTACCTTTTTCAAAGTCACTAATGACATCCACTTTGCTAATCCAATAATCAATTATCAATCCTTACATTGTTTGACCACTGAGCAGTATTTAATAAAGCTGATTATTCCCTGATCCTTGAAAAAACTTCATTTGCTTTCTAGGATGCTATCCTCACCTGGCTTACCCCGTATCTCACAACTCATTTCTCCTCTGATTATTTCTAAGGTTCTCTTCCTCTTTCTGGGATGTTAACAATGGACAATGTTGTGGCTCATTCTTGTCCCTCTTTGTAAACTGTATCTTTGGTTATTCCCTTGGCAAACTCATTCAAATCATTGCTGAGAACTCTTAAATGAAAATATCTGGTGCCTTTCATCAAGTCCAGATGAGTTTACCCAACTGCTTAAGTGACATCCCCACATGAATATATATGTATTTCATACGTAACATGGCTAAAATCAAAATCTTACTGTTCCTTCCATGTGCCCACTACCCAGGCCTCTGCTTTCCATAGTCTTCATCATCTCAGTTAGTATCAACTTCATCATCATGGTTGCTTAGGATAAAATTTTCGGAATTACCCTATATCCAAATAATCAGTAAATTGTCTCGGTTGTAGCATCAAAACATATTTTTAGTCTATAATCTGATTATTTCACCACCTCTAGTACTACCATTCTAGAAAATAACACCAATGTCTCTCTAACCAACTTATCACAATAGCCTCCCAACTGGTTTCCCTGTATCTGTCCTTGCCAGTGAAACTAATGCTACCTTGCTAAAACAAAAAGCAGATCATAATCACAGCTGTTAACCCAAAACCACAAATGGCTTTTCCTCTTTATCAGAGCAAAAGCTAATAGCATTACAATAACCTATAGGACAAAAATAATTGTATCTACTTGGATCTAGTATCCTACTATTGCTTCTATTCATTTCGTTTTAATTACTTCTGATTCCTTAGTATTCCTTAATATTATCACATATTCTCCATCCTCAAAAGATAGCACTGGCTAGAATGATGATCTTCCTAAAGATGTTTCCTTGTTTTCTTTAAAAATCATCTTAGTATGGCCTTCCCTAACCACCCTGTTAAAAATTGTTCCCAATCCTTCTGTGCACATTTATTTTTCTTTATATAGAACTAACCAACAACCACACAACACAACTGATGATAGTCATTCTAGTTTTTTTTTTAATGCCCAACTGATGTTACTTCCTAGGGAACAAAAGGGGGGTGGGCAATTCTTAAATAACAATGCTTCAGATATTTTAATGTAAATGTTAATTTTCCTCATTTATTCCCATTCCATGACAAAAATAAGTATTTTTCTCATTTGGATAAAGCAAAAAGCTTATTTTTCCCCAACTTTTTATTATTTTCTCATATACTTTCTTTTTTTCACAAGCAAGTTATTTTAAATAAATTGGAAATCATAAAAATTAAAAACATTATGAATCAATTATTTGCTCAGCAATATATAAGGGACCATATAAATACAAAAATTACTGTTATCAAAGAATATAAAACATCTTCAATAAACACAGATATTTGTAGATATAAGAATGCTCAATTCCAGCATTTCTAGGTATTTCAGGACCATAAAATAAAAATAACATAGTAAATCATTTTTGAAAACTAAAAAGACTTTTGTAAGTAAAGACAAATTGTGCATAGATTGTTCCACATCAGTCCTAAATGGGATTGCTAATCTTGAGATCAGTACAAAACAGCATTTTTTTTGTTTTTTTAAAACAGCATATTTAAGTTAGCATTTTTATTCACTTTTCCATGTATGTTATGCCTATTGACAGCATATTTCATTAAGTTAAGGTTTTAATATTACCAAGATGTCAAATATCCAGGGAAGATTTTATAAGATCAAAATTTACTACAAATAAAGATTCATCCATTAATGTTGTACATCCATTAATGCAGTGACTCACTTTACAAAATGGAAACTGTTAAATGAGAAATGTATAATTCTTGCCCATTTCAAATACTTCAAAAAGGGGAAGCTGAAGACAGGCTCATAAATTAATGGAAGTAAAACCACTTTCTTCATTAAGAAAGGTAAACTTTTCAAATTTTGAAAGGTTTCATTTCTCAGACTCTCTATTTTCCCAATGTCCTTTATGTGTAACTATAACACAGATTTAAAACTTTGGGAAAAACTATTCATGTGGATTTGTCATGTTTCACTATGTCTATGTTATATGTCATTTACACAAGTACCAAGTCTTAAAAGACACAAAGTTGGCCAAACGAAATACTTCTACAATCTTCTAAATACAATGCTGAATTACATATTCCAGTCCAGACCAGTGCAGACTGCAGTGAGCTGGACTCCACAGTGAATTTTCTACTCCTGACACTTTCTTTATTGAGTGGTTTTGTCCAGAAAGCAAATGCATTAGCAGCTGAAAACAAAAAACGTTTCCCCAGATTACCGTCAAAGTGTAAATATGGAGGTTGCTAGAAGCAGCTTTTTCTTACTCGCAAATTAATGAGGCATTAGTGTGAATAAAATACTTAAAAATATACATATACTTAATTTTGGCCCAGCATGGTGGTTTACACCTGTAATCCCAGCACTTTGGGATGCCAGGGTGGGTGGATCACAAGGTCAGGAGTTTGAGACCAGCCTGGCCAGCATGATGAAACCCCATCTCTATTAAAAATACAAAAAATTAGCCAGGCATGGTGGTGCGTGCCTGTAATCCCAGCTACTCGTGAGGCTGAGGCAGGAGAATTGCTTGAAACCAGGAGGTGGAGGTTGCAGTGAGCCGAGATTGCACCACTGCACTCCAGTTTGGGCGACAGAGGGAGACTCCGTCTCAAAAAAAAAAAAAAATTATGCAGCAAAGAATTTATTTAGCAATATGAAAAATATATAGTGATCCTTCTCTTTTTGTCTTACTGTCTCCCTCTTCCTCTCTCCTTTACACAACTTTTTACCATTTCACGTAGAGACACCTACAAAAATCTGACGAAAGCCCTGATTCTACTCATAAATATACGAAATATTTCATTGTTTTAGGAAATCAAAAATTGTTCAGTACCCATTGATTGATTCCTAGAGTTCTCATGGCCAAAACTTAGAACCTGGAGTTATATATTGAGGGTTAGCCAGTTAACAAATTATAATCAATTAATTAACAGGATATCAATGAATAATAAGGAGAATAAAGAATATATTTTTAGAAAACAAGCACAGTGTAGAATAATATTCATCTGTTCAGAATTTAGAAGTATGTTGTGCTCTGTAAAATCTGGAAATTTCACCATTTTATGAAAATATCTACACTTAATATAGTTGCTAGTGAAGTCAATAAGGAGAGGTTAAAGTTAGCTTGTGAATACATGCCTACCATATTTCTATATTGCATCTTCATCATTCCGAACTTGCTTAAAAACTTAAATCAAAAAATCTTTATAACCAATGTACCTTCATATGTCCATTTCTTGTTTCAGATATCTTTATTTCTACATTTATAATTGAGACAAATAGAAGGTTTTAGAACCTGAAATTTGTTCCTGAATAATTTGATATAAATGTATTTAAAAACATGGAGATAAATCAATAAAAATATTTAAAATCATAATTTGAAAAAGCATGTTCATACTAATATTTCTTGGAGTTTTTCATTTGCTAAAATATGATTACCTAAAAAAAATTCTCCTGTATTTAAATTACATAAAATTCTGTCACATAAAATTTATCAAAAAATTACTCTCCTCTCTATTGATTGGAAGCCTAGGATATTTCAGGACAAATTAAGATGACAAAAACATTTTGGATGTTCTAAAATTAGAAAAGTTTTGGCTTTGCATTTTGCTTATGAAACAATGTTCAGATGTGACATTTGCCCAATGTATCTGTCCTAAAGAATAGATGGTATCAAGTTTTGATCTTTATTTTTGGATCTAGAAATAACAAAGTAGGTAAACCTGCAAATAAGTCATAATTTCTAGTTAAGGGTGACTAGATGATTCAACCAAAATGATTTCCACTTTTTAAAACAATAATCTTCATGTTTAAATAATAATTGATTCTTCAAATATAGGTAAACATCTTCAAAAAGTAGCCAATACCCCATTCAATGAAAATGTATATCCAATGACATCTATTACTATGCTAAAAAGGCCAATGATGCTATAAATTTGGAAAAATTTACAGACAATTGCATTAGATTAATAGAGGTGTAAGGCAATAGTGTAAGGGATTTTAGATTTCAGTTAGAGATGTTGGCTGTGAAATGGTGAAAGCCATATATTAAACAAAATAAAATAATTGAGACAATAATTAAATGCAGAAAAAGACCAAAAAGTTGTAATGAAAAAGAAATATAAATATTGCATGGTTTAAATGACAATATAGTTTATATAATTCTAATCTTTCAAATATTTAATAATTATATAGCTAACTGTAATCTGTATCTCTGTCCAGCTATCTACCTATTAAAAAAGAGAATTGTATAGTATATAATCAGCTTGATAAAACAGATTATATGAAAGAGATTTCTGTATAAGATCTAAATCCTAATGGTTTTTATCCAATATACATTGTATAAATTCGAAGTTTTCTGTAGAAATATTCATATTGTTTAAAGTATACTTATTTTATATTATACATGTTTAAATATTTATATACTTTATTTTATTTATGTACATACACATATATATTTAATACCATAGCCTCTGATAATTTGAATGATGGGGGATAGAGAGTACAGTTTTAATGGTAAATTTATAGAATTACTTGATTTTTAACTATGAATAAAATGATCATGATAAAAACAATGTTGAATAAAAACAATTTAAATTTTTGTAAAGGAAAATTGTATGAATAATTAAAACTGTAAGGTTTTACATGAAATAATGCTCACCTCTTTATAAATATCAATTTGGCAATGATAATTTTGCCACTTTTTTTATCCTCTATTTCTTATACTGATTTTCAGTCTATTGAAGTATTATCAATATAATAAAGTTCGTAAAAGGAGTGAAATAAAATATAAAATGATATAAAACTGAAATTTTTACAGAGGCTCAGAGTCAGCTGTATAGTATTGAAATCCTTTATAAAACAGCATCAGGAGTTATAAAATGATTGTCTACAGGTACAGACCCAGTAACAATACACAAAAAAAGGATAAATTCCCTTTGAAAAGAAAAACAAATCACATTTATGGGTAAAATCCAGTGAGCCTAAAAACAAACAAGCAGAAGGCAGAATTCTGTAGCAGCCAAGCCGGATGTAAACCAGAGGGGAAATCACAGAAGCAGAGCCGCCCTGGAGAGATGGGCACCGAGGTCCAGAGCACATAACCTCCAGGCACAGCCCAGCTGCCAACCAAAGTGAGATCGTGGCTACCAGGAGAAAGTGGAGTTTAAATAACAAATACGCTCGAGAAGGAAAAAATTATCCAAGCAGAGTGGTGAATATGTACACATAGAACACAGAAACACAAAAGCAGCAGGAGCAGCAAATATGAAAACAAAGAGAACATAAAAATATAATACACTAAATTTGAACGCAAAAAAAAACTACCTCACAGAAAAGGACCAGCCACAGTAGAAAATCTGTAGAAGACAACTGAAAAATAATATTGCCTTTCTATATCTTTCACAACCTTTAGCAGACGAGGATGAAAGCCAATATAGACAAATTTAGAAATTCTTAGGGCATATAATATTACTGGACAAGCTGAGTACATTTTTTAAAAATACGTCTGGAAAATCTATGTTTAAATTTATCAACTGTAGCTAAACTATTTCATATATTAATCTCTACATTGATTTAAAGATCCATGTTGCCTACAGTTTTTAAGTTTAAAGAATAACATTCACCAAAGTATCAGCAACACTTTGGTACATAATGTTACAAATTAAGCATCATACGTTTCCTATAAGAGCGTTTCTTTATCACTACAGGGGTCCATGGCAAACAATATACTATACCACTATATATTAGATGTGCTAAGAGTAAAGTCAGCTGTACATGGTAGCTCACGTCTCTAATCCCAGCACTTTAGGAGGCCAAGGTGGGCAGATAGCTTGAGCTCAGGAGTTTGAGACCAGCCTGGGCACCAAGGCAAGACCTCCTCTCCACTAAAAATACAAAAAAATTAGCCAAATGTGGTGGCACACATCTGTAGTCCCAGCTACTCTGGGAGGTTGAGGTGGGAGGATCACTTGAGCCCAGGAGGCAGAGGTTACAGTGAGCCAAGATTGTGCCACTGCACTCCAGCCTAGGTGACAGAGTAAGACCCTGCCTCAAAAAAAAAAAAAAAAAAAGCAGTCAAACAAGGATAAGAGCAAGAATCTTTGGTATTATGTAAATTAATTACAAACTCTTATTCTATAACTAGACACTTGAGCCACAAATGGCCATTTATTTTCCAGGTGGGCCTTTTGCTATAGAGTCAGGGTTGTATTCCGTTAAACACATTACAACACAGGAGATGGGACTATCAGCAGAATTTTGAGATACTTGGATGTAATAGATCCTATGTCCACTGCATTAAAGGTCAGTGTTTTGGTTGACTGTTGTACTACACGTTT
Source organism: Homo sapiens (assembly GCF_000001405.40). Lineage (NCBI taxonomy): Eukaryota > Metazoa > Chordata > Mammalia > Primates > Hominidae > Homo > Homo sapiens. Next base: position 72,809 of record NW_003315920.1, read on the forward strand.
TTTGAAAACCTCATTCTTTTAAAAGATGAAGTTCCGTGAAGTTATGCTAACATTGAGAAGGAAGGGAGAAAGAGAGAGAGAGAGAAACAAATAAAGTATATAACAAAAGCAATACATTAAGATTTAGAACTAAATAATAATAAATCAGTTTAAGGAGCTCAGAAAACTAATGAAAATGGTCAGATAGTTAGAAACATATAAAATATTATGTTCAAAAAACCAATAAGATATGTTGGAACTCGAAGGAAAGATACGCAAATGCTTTTAAATAACATGATCTTCTACGTAGGAACTATAAAAGAATCAAAATGATAAGATCTGAAATACGCAGAGCTATACTATAGTCAATTGTGGAACTACTTCATATTCTGACCCCAAATTCATCTATAAATTAGATACAATCCAAATTTAAATGTACTTGAAATTTTCTACTAAAGCAAGAATGTATGAAAGGGTAAAGAGCCTCAAATAGCTAAGTTGTATATGAAAAGATGAATGAATTAAGAAAATGTACTCTTGTAGGTATTAAAATACAATCCTTTAGTGGGAAGACAAAAATGACACAGTAGAGAAAAACAGAAAGCTCAGAAATAGATTCATGTGTCTATGATAGAAATGACTTTACAAATCAGTGACCAGAAGGCTCTTTGCTAAATAAATTAGGTTTTTAAAAAGTGGCCCTGAATATGGAGAAAACTCAATGTAGATATTTCCATTATTAGGTGGCCAGGAGGATGTCAGGGAGGCTGCCAGATGAATTCAAAGCTTCTTTAAGATAAAACGACAAAGTTGGCCTGGCACAGCGGCTCACACCTGTAATCCAGCACTTTGGGAGTCTGAGGGGGGTGGATCACAAGGTCAGGAGTTTGAGACCAGCCTGGTCAACTTAGTGAAACCACCCTCTCTACTAAAAATACAAAAATTAGCCAGGCATGGTGGCATGCACCTGTGGTCCCAGCTGCTCGAGAGGCTAAGGCAGGAGAATCGCTTGAACCCAGAAGGTAGAGGTTGCAATGAGCCAAGAACATGCCACTGTACTCCAGCCTGGGCGACAGAGAGCGAGACTTTGTCTCAAAAATAAATAAATAAATAAATAGCCAATAGGGGGAAAAAAGTAGGAAAAATATACTGTGGCCTATTGATGATAATGACTTATTTAAGTAATGCCGTTACAGGGCCAAGATTATAAGCAAAGAAATGACACCAAGTAAAATTCTTTCAAATTACTAGAAAAATTATATACGTAAAGCAGAAATTTGTAAAATCAAAAACTGAGAAGGGCTTAATGAATAATGTAGTTGAGAAATTTAAACAAATCAATAAGAAAAATGATGGAATTTAAGGGAAAAATGTGCAAAATATAGAAGGGACTAAACAGAGAAACAACTGGAAAAACTACATGTGTAGGAGAGGCTTTAGACTTATTTCTAGTTAAATGAGACTGTAACAAAACAAAATGAGATTGTTTGCTACTAACAGATTGGAAAAATAAAAATCAAAGCCAGATAGAACAAAGTGTTGATGTAGATGTTAGGATTTAGGGATCTAATTTTATGTTAATGGAGATTATATATATATATATATATATATATATATATATATATATATATATATATATATAGTGTGTGTGTGTGTGTGTGTGTGTGTGTGTGTGTTATGACAAAGTAATTTTACTTCTGAACCTGTATCATTTTCCAGAATGGTCACACAGAGCCATCATCCTGTGCACACACAAAAAAAATCCCCTTAGTGTCTGTCTAGCCATCAGTTGGATTCAATATGAGACCAAGCACATCTGTAGTCCCAGCTGCTAGGGAGGCTGAGACAGGATGATGGCTTGAGCCCAAGAGCCTAAGTCCAGCCTGGCAACACAGTGAAACCCCATTTCAAAAATAATAAGTTTTAAAAAATAATGACGAAAACTAGGAGAACATGTAAAGCAGCATGGATCATTCTTATGGTATGGCATTCACTGGAAAGAAACCCAAGTCTATAACTATATGATCATGAAGATTTTAAAAACACACAGCTCAGTGAAGATTATGTGATCTAGAATGATATCTCTGACAATACATTTTTAGTACATTAAATTCTAGACATGGAATTTATAACTTTTCATGTTATTTAGTTGCTTGTTTCAGTTTTGTTTTTCTCTATATCTTTAATATGTGGAATCCTTTTCCTTCCTTTCTTCCTTCCCTCCTTCCTCCCTCCCTCCCTTTCTCCCTCCCTTCCTTCTATGTCTAAAGACGTATTCTCCAAACACTAAGAATAAATACTTTTTTATTGGAATAGGAGATAGGTGCTGTAAAGTCTTGTAGTGATTGGAGTTTGTAGAAATTAATGACAACGAAAACTTGATATATAAAATATATTTGTCATGTGGTCAAGCCAATGTTTACAATAGGGTATAGCCTTATTTGTTAGAAAATTCTGCATTTGGCCAGGTGCGGGAGCTCACAACGGTAATCCTAGCACTTTGGGAAGCCAAAGTGGGAGAATCATTTGAGCCCAGGAACTTGAAACCAGCCTGGGCAACATAAAGAGATACTATCTCTCCAGAAAAATTTTTAAAAATTAGCCAGACATGGTGGCACACTTCTGTGGTCCCAGCTACTCAGGAGGCTGAGATGGGGGGATTGCTTCAGGCCAGAATTTCAAGGCTGCAGTGAACTATGACCTCACCACTGCACACCAGTATGGGTGACATAGCAAGACCTTGTCTGGAAAGAAGGAAGGAAGGAAGCGGATTCCACATTTTAAAGATATAGAGAAAAACAAAACTGAAACAAGCAACTGAATTTTAACTGTGTATTCAAAATGGAGAATCTGCAAGTGGGAAATGGAAGCAGATATGAAAGCTCATTTCCAGAATACTGTATTCTTTTTCCACTAGTCTGAGGAAAGAAATGTTCTGCATTCCTTTATGAGTTTTCTAACAAGCTTGGAAGAATTTTACTACTGAAGAACTTTTTTAATTGGTGCTATGCTAAAGAAATTTATAACATTCCATAAAAGACATATTTTTCATTTTCAAATATACATGATTCTAGATATTTGGTTTTTGTTTTGCTTTTATTTTTAAAATTATATGGCAGAACAAAGTTCCTTGGGTTATACTTTGACAAATTATGGTCTATAAAAATATGTTTGAATGAACTTTGGTGGTAACTATAGACTTTATAAATTGGTATTTTAATAATTTGCAAGAAAAAATTAGCAACTGAGAAAGGATCTTATTTATCAAAGTAACATAAATGCTGAAATGATCACGGCTGCCTTCAATGTTTACTGACTCGTTTTTCAATGATCCTGTCTATCAGTCACTACAGGCACTAACTTTTCAGCCTACCCAGTTTTTTTTTTTTGAACATATATACATCATTCAAATACCTACAGAGTGATTCTTCGCTTTTATACATTGTATATCACATTATATCACATTATCCTTGCATACTTCTCTCTTTATGATGGAAGTTAACTTTCTTCCTTCATTCCCTTACCTAACATATTGTAGCAAAATTAACAAATACTTAAACTTAATTTAAATAAAATATATTAATATATAAACAGAAATTAATTCATAACTTAGTAAAAGCAATAACAAATAGCTTTTTATGTGATCACGTTTTATCACTTCTTCAACATGAGATATTTTTCTCTCTGCCTACACTTATTCTTTCTTCTAATGAGTACTGAAAATTATTCTCACTTTAATCAAATTTTTTTAATGTGCAAAAATTTCTATTTCATTGTCTGAGGGAGTCATTTTTCAAAAACAGGTTTCTGAAAAGTTTATCTCTAATGATATGGTTACATATGAATATTATATTTTAAACAATATTTTTATATTATACTTATAGACTCTTTCAATGACTTAGAAACTCTTGAATATTCAGTTGTTAATCACTGCCCAAAAAGAAACAAGAGTTGTTGAAAATTCTATGTTTTAACTAGTAACAAAATTACCTTTTTCATTTCAAAAGCTTCAGTTTTATTTCTGTAGCAAAAGAGTATATTTAGCAACATGATCCCAACAGTGATTACTGTTCAGTCATTACCATTTTGTGGGATGGTGAGGGATGCTGTGTGGCCACAGCAGGGTTTCTTCCATATGTGCTTAGCTTTGCAGCCTGACTGGCTGTGATCCGTGACACAGGTGAGGGCTTTGCCACCTGTGAGCTGTAGGTGTTAGATAATCACTTAACCTCTATGAGTTTACTTAGCAGTAAATGGGTAAAAGAGTAATGCAGATGGCATAGGGTGGTATGAAGATTAAAAGACACCATGCAAAGGCAGCACTTACCACAGAGATTGGCTTCATGGAAGTTTTTGAGATTTACAAGCTGTAAAAACGGTCATCTACTAATCTACAGTTACAAAGCCATGGAGATAATCTATTCATCAAGTATAACTTTTATACCAGATGATAATTTTATGATACCTGGTAATATACCTTTAGATAAAGGGAACATAGTAAAATAAAAAGGGCTTGGAAATAATTATTTCATTAAAACATATTTAGGCCAGGCATAGTGGCTCAGGTCTGTAATCCCAGTGTTTTGGAAGGCTGAGGCAGGAGGATTGCTTGAGGCCAGAAGTTGGAGATCAGCCTGAGCAACATAGCGAGACCACATCTCTACAGATAATTGATTTTAAAAATTATCCAGGCATGGTGGCATAGGCCTGTGGTTCTAGCCACTTGAGAGGCTGAGGCAGGGGGATCACTTGAGCCCAGGTGTTTGAGGTAGCAGTGAGCTATGGTCATGCCATTGCACTCTAGCCTGGGTGGCAGAGGGAGACCATGTCTCTAAAGATAAAAGAAAAATAAATTTAAAAGAAACATATTTAATTCAGACACTTAAAAATGTATTGGAGAACAAGTCTAGTCAGTTTGTTCACCAACACCTTAGGAACTGACATTTTCCTGTTCACAAACAACAAACATAGATGTCCTATGGCAATTTTTCATATGAAAGAGGTAAGATTCAATAGAAGAGATTTCCAAATTAATGGCACATCAAAACCATCACCAAAAACAAATATAATTATAGGTTATTTATCTTTGTCAATTGCTTCGCAATATGTATTAAGGTTCTTTAAAGAAATAGAATAGGATATATATAGAGAGATTTATTATGCAAATTGACTCAACAATTATGAAGGCTGAGAAGTGCCATGATTTGCTTCCTGCAAGCTGGAGAAGCAGGTAAGCCAGTGCTGTAATTCAGTTTAACTTCAAAGGCCTGAGAACCAGGAGAGTCAATGATCTAAGTCCCAGTTTGAGGCTGGAAGTCTGAGAACCTGGGAGTCACACAGCTAAGCGCTGGCGTCCAAAGGTGTGAGAACTAGGAGCTCTGATGTCCAAGGGAAGGAGAAGATGGATGTCCCAGGCTCAAGGAGAGAGAATTCACCTTCTCCCTTTTATGTTCTACCAGGCTCTCGAGAGATTGGATGATTCCTGCTTACATTGGTTGGGGTTATCTTCTTTACTCAGTCTACTGCTTTAAATTCTAATGTCTTCTGGAAACACCTCCACAGACAGACCCAGAAATAATGTTTTACCAGCTTTCTGGACATCCTTTAGCCCAGGCAAGTTGACACATAAAATTAACCATCACACAATATATGTAATAATAGATCTAATCCTTTTTTAAAAAGTTACAAGGAAGATATTGAATGTTCCTAATACAAAAACATGGTAAATATTTGAGAAAATGGATATGCTAATTTCTATAATCTGATCATAATATATTATTTTTTTAAAACATCACTATGTACCCCATAAATATGTAAAATTATTATATGTCAATTAAAAGCATAAAATAAAAAGTTGTTAAGCCAAGCTGGGTTTAGGGAATCCAAATTACATTCAATTGTTCCTGTCTTTACCCAGGGAAAACTACGAAGAAACTGTTAACACTCATGAGCAAATTCAGGCTGTTTTGAAACCAGTATTAGAGTAGTCTATTTTTTTTTTTTTTTTTTTTGCTTGACTGGTTATTGGCATAATGCCCTTAACAAAGATGACTTTAACAAAGGTAACAGTCTATTTTTTGCTTAACCAGTTATTCACATAATGCTTTTAACAAAGGGTGACCAGTTATTCACATAATGCCTTTAACAAAGATGTTTATTGAATAACTGCTTAGTAATCAGTTGCCTAACATAATCTATTGAGATGATGTTTAATCCACAGGCACATAAGTGATGAAAATGTGAACAATTCAAGATGAACCTTTTACAAGAAAAAATTAGTGGAATGAACATAAAAAGTGTATTACTTGGGAAATGACATAATTAAAGGACGGTTAAAAAGAAAAGATTTTATACATCAAGTATCATGGTTTCTGGTCTTTTAAGGAGAGGATCTATCCTTTAGAATGAATAAAAATAGGTGTAACAGGCAAACGCATAAGCAAGTAAAGGAGGGACTCACCCTGTGAGCTTGTGGAACACCATATAGACCTAATAGGGATGGATTTTGACCCTAAAGCTTAATTAGTGGGTACTAAAGAGTAACTTTATTACATAACAATAAAAAATGGCAGAAGTATATAAATCAGGCTTTGTAATACATATTCTGTAAAAGGCTCAGTAGTTATCCTATGGCTATAAAATGTTTCAAAATAACTAACTTTTATATAAAATATCTTTTATTTTACATTTCATACACAAAAAGTAGTGCTTATTCATAGCACTCTACATTATTCTTTAGACAAGGGATTGGCAAACTTCTTTTGTAAAGTGGCAGATAGAAAATATTTTAGATTTTGGAAACCACGCATTCTCTGTTACAACTACCTAACTCTGTCATTGCAACATAAAAGTAACTATACACAACAGGAGAGTAGATGGATGTGACTATGTTCCAATAAAATCTTACGTACAGAAACATTTGACACAGAGGCCACAGTTTGCTAATCCTTGCTTTACACACTTGAAATACATGTAACATGAATTTTCTGACCCCAATATTTACATGTCTCTCTCATTTTTATCTCATTTGCAATAATATGGATGACACTTCATTACTAAGGTTTATTTAGTTTTGATTATTGTTATTTTTGTCATAGAAATTATTTAAGATGCTTTTATATTTTTCTCTCTTTCCTTTCATGTTGCTATTTGAGTAAAACTGGTATCCTATGTGGAAAACATCATGAAATTGAATTTCTATTACTATCTCTATCCATATATTCCATGCAAATTTAGGACTTAAAAAGGAAAAACATTAAAGACAAGCCTGAGTAAATTTTTGCAATGTGCATTTTGAATAAGTGGGATAAGGGTGCAGTAGGGGAGGTGAAAGATTTTAGAAATCAGTAAGTAAAATATAAGAACTTCAAAATTAGTAAAGACAGATAACCAAAAAAATTAAAGATACTTAAAATCTCATTATTAATAATAGAACAGTGAATTCAAACCATAATGAGATACTGTATGAGTCAGGGTTCTCGAGAGGGACAAAACCAATAGAATACATATACATATGTATGTATGTGTGTGTGTGTGTGTGTATATATACACACACATAAATATATATACAAACACACACACACACATATATATGAAAGGGAGTTTATTAGGGGGAACTGACTCACATCATCAGGAGGTGAAGTCCCACGATAGGCCATCTGCAAGCTGAGGAGCAAGGAAACCAGTAGTGGCTCAGTCCAAGTCCCAAAACCTCAAAAGTAGGGAAGCCGATAGTGTAGCCTTCAGCTTGTGGCCCATGGCAAGCCACTGGTCTAAGTCCAATAGTTAAAAGCTAAAGAACCTGAAGTCTAATGCTCAAGGGCAGGAAGCATCCATCACCAGGGAAAGATGAAAGCCAGAAGACTCAGCCAGCCAGCTTATACCACCTTCTTCCACCTGCTGCTAGCTGTACCTGTAACCAATTGGATCACGCCCGCCCACATTGAGGGTGGGTCTGCCTCTCCCAGTCCACTGACTCAAATGTTAATCTCTTCTAGCAACACCCTCACAGACACACCCAGGAACAACACTTTTCCTCTTTCAATCCAATCAAGTTGACACTTGATATTGACCATTACAGATACATTTACATATTCACCTAATTAGCAAACACATTTTTGTTTTTGAAGGGCCACCACAACCACGTGTTGGCAGAGTTGTAAAAACACAGAAATTCATAAACTGATTTTTGATGTATTAATTGGCTGAAACACTTTTGAAAATGGTTTGTTATTATGAAGAAATTTGAAAAGGTGACAAAATGGGGTCCAAAAACTGTTTCTAAATGTATATTCTTAAAGAACTCTGGTATATATATATGTCAAGATATGCATACATGAATACTTATGTTAGCTTTATACTTAATTGCTCCAAATTGGAATCAAACCAGATTTTTATCACTAGGAGAAAGGACAAATTAGTTTTTCATATTTTTATACCATTGAGTATTATATTGCAACAATAGCTAATAAACTAGTGCAATTTCAGTATCAAAAAGAATTCTCACAAACCTAAGACTGCAGGAAAAATGTATAAGTACCAGCATAAATTCAGTTTGATACAATTTATGTAAAACTCAAGACCAGAAAACTTTATGCAATATTTAGGGAAGAATAATACATAAGCAATGTGATAGGCAAAATTTTATGACTGCCCACAAGATTTTCCTCCCCACTTGGTATACACCATTCTGCATATTCCCTGGAACTCTGAATATGATGTATAACACTTTTGTGATTAGATTATGCTAAAGGGCAGAGTTGACCCTAAAATAGGAAGATTATTTGCATAATCCTAATCTAATAACATTATCTCTTTTATAGCATAGTTTCTTTTAAAGGGATTTATCTCTTTAATAGCATAGTTTATTTTAAAGGATTTGTTGCAGGGAAGGAAGGCAGAAAAATGTGAAACATAAGTAGAATTCCACAAGCAGTTGCTGGCTTGAAGATGGAGGAGGTTGCCTGAAAAGGACCTGAGAACAGCTTCTCAGAGCTGAGATCTACTTCCAGCTGACAACCAGCAAGGAACTAGATAATACCAATAATCTACAGGATCTTGGAAGCAGACTTTATCCTAGAGCTTCTGAACCAGAACTCAACCTGGCCAGCACCTTGATTTCAACTTTGTGATATACCATGAACAGCTAATTCAGGCACATCTTGCCCTGCTTCTTGTCAATAGAACTGTGAAATAATGAAGGGGTGTTATTTTAAGCCACTAAATTTGTGGTCATTTTCCCCAAACTATAAATATATGACAGGTTATGAAATTCTGAATAAAGCAAAGAAATTATTACCAGAAAAGTCAGAATAATGGCTTTGTCTATGGAGGAAATCTATCTATGTTTGGTAATTTAAAAGTTGGGGAATACATATGTAATACACTTAAGCCTTTGGGTGAGAAGGGCTTACAACACAATGTCAAAAACTCAAACTCATGATTAATGGGATGATTAATAGGTTAAAAAAATAGAAAGAAAGAATGACCTAATATTTGATATCACAATGAATGAATATAGTCAATAATAATTTAATTGTGCCTTTTAAAATAATTATAAGAGTGTAATTGAATTGTTGTAACACAAAGGATAAATTGTGCTTAGAGGGTACAGACTCCTCTGCCCCGAAAGATTCAGTTCAAAATAATTTTTAAAAACTTAATTTCCATTTTAAAATCTTCCAATAGAGTGTATCTAGTCATGAGGATATGTTTATATGTTAGCTTATGTATATGTATATATTTTTATATATGCATTAGTATATACATTTTATTTATTTTGTTATTATATGATGCAATATAGATCTTATAAATGCAAAGTCTTATATTTATAGGGGATAACGAATAGTTATTGTAAATGTAATACTTAAATACACATAAATATTGTTTTTTAAAATAAAGCATAGTACTGTCCGTGTATGATGATAGAACAAAAATATTAA